>NC_000015.10:92198853-92350369 GCF_000001405.40 Homo sapiens
CTCTTGCTCCCCCATCTCACTGCAATATACCTGCTCCCCTTTGCCATCCATCATGAGTGGAAGCTTCTTGAAGCCTTCACCTGAAGCAGATGCCAACACTATGCTTCCTGTACAGCCTGCCATACCATGAGCCAAAATAAACCTCTTTTCTTTGTAAATTACCCAGCCTCAGGTATTCATTTGTAACAATGCAAAGTGGACAAACACAGAAAATTGGTACTGAGGAGTGGGGCTTTGCTATAAAGATAGCTGAATATGTGGAAGCAGCTTTGGAAATGAGTAAATTGGCAGATATTGGAAGAATTTGGAGGGCTTAGAAGAAGACAAGAAGATGAGGGAAAATTTAGAACTGTCAACCAAAGGATAATGAAGTTCATAAATGTGGAAAGGAGAGCTGTATTTCTCATAAATAGTTGCAGCCTGCAGGGTGGCCATTCAGAATGACTGGGAAGCATAGCCTCTGGCCAGAAGCCAGAAACAGGCACTTGGAGTATAAGAATAAAACAAGGATTTGTGCTGAATGAGGTGGCCAAATATATATTCAGCAAGCTATAGGAGGAGCCATGAATATTTACGAAAGAATAAACACACACATGCTCAGTTGACCTCCAAGCCCCTTCATGGGGTCCATGTTCAAAAAATGGTAGTGTTAGCAAGATGTGTCGGGGGAGTTTTTGGGCCTCTGACTTCAAAAGATGAAGCAGAGGACATAAAACCCCTCAGTCAGTGCACAGCCTTCCTAGACTGACCAGAACCTCTCAGTGGTTGGTGGTCTCTTATCAGGAAGGAATGCTGGTTGGTTGTTCTGTTGAAACTGCAAAAGGGAGGAACAGCATCAGGTGGTTGGTTGAAATCAGTGGTGAGGTGACTCTTTTGAAAGGGCTGGTTCCAACCCAAATGCTCATCAATGATAGACTGGATAAAGAAAATGTGGCACATATATACCATACTATGCTGCCATAAAAAAGAATGAGTTCATGTCCTTTGCAGGGACATGGATGAAGCTGGAAACCATCATCCTCAGCAAACTAACACAGGAACAGAGAACCAATCATCACACGTTCTCAAAAGTGGGAGTTCAACAATGAGACCACATGGACACAGGGAGAGGAACATCACACACAGTGGCCTGTTGGAGAATGAGGGGAAAGGGGAGGGAGAGCATTAGGACAAATACCTTAAACCCTAGATGTCAGGGTGATAGGTGCAGCAAACCACCATGGCACATGTATTCCTATGTAACAAGCCTGCACTCTCGGCACATGTATCCCAGAACTTAAAGTAAAATAAATTAATTTTTAAAAAGAGAAAGGGCTGGTTCCTGCTTAGCCTTCAGAGAAGAAAGCCTAGCGGTGGTTAGCAAGGGACGGGCTCTGACGAGGCATGTTTGACCTCCCATTGCATCAGGGCTGGGACTCAGTTTTAAGGTTTTTTTGGGGTCCCCTTGGCCAAGAGGGGGTCCATTCAGTAGCCTGGGGTGGGGGGAAGGCTTAGGATTTCATTTTTATTTCTCAGAATGTACTGGAGATTCGTTAAATGATTATGACCAAAATGCTGATAGAAATATGGGCAGTGAAGGCCAGGTTGATGAGGTCTCAGATGAAAATGAAGAACTTATTGGGAGCTGGAGCACAGGTCACCCTCGTTACACCTTAGCAAAGAATTTGGCTGCATTGTGCCAATGTCCTAGGGCTTTGTGGAAGGCTGAGCTTCAGAGTGATGACTTAGGGTATCTGGAGGAAAAAAAAATTTCTATGCAGCCAAGTATTCAAGAAGTGGCAAGGCTGCTTCTACCAATCTAAGATCAGATATGGGACAAAGGAATGACTTAAATTTGGGACTTCCAATTTAAAGGGAAGTAGAGTGTAAAAACTTGGAAAGTCTGCAGCCTGGCTCATGGTGGAGAAGGGAAGAACATTTCAGGAGAGGAACCCAAAGGATAAGAATCCAAGAGGCATGAGGAACAACCACTTGCTGGAGAGATTAGCATGACAGAAAGGGAAGCAGGTGCTACTAGTCAAGACAATGAGAAAAAGGCTACTCCTCCCATTGCAAGCCCAGAGGCCTAAGAGGACAGACTGGTTTCAGGGACAAGGCCAGGGGCATTGCTACTCAGTGCTGCCTTGGGGTGCTGCTTCCCTTATCCCAGCCATCTCGAGTCCAGCCTCCACTCAAAGGCCCCCAAACAGGAGCTCAGGCCTCCACTTCAGAGCGTGTGAACTGCAAGCCCTGGTAGTTTCCACTGGCATTAAGTCTGTAATTGTGCAGAATGCAAGAGTGGTGGAGGCTTGGCAGTTTCCACCTAGATTTCAGAGGATACATCAGAAAGCCTGGGTGCCCAGACAGAAGTCTGCTGCAGGGGCAGTGCCCCCATGGTTAGCCTTTTCTAGGGTAGTTCCAAGGGAAAATGTGGGGTTGGAGTCCCCACAGAGAGCCCCCACCAGGGCACTACCTAGTGGAGCAGTGGGAATGAGGCCACTGCCCTCCAGACTCCAGAATGGTAGAACCACTAGCAACTTGCACCTTAGCCTAGAAAAGCCACAGTCACTCAACTCCAACCCATGAGAGCAAGAACAGCAGCTGTACCTTGCAAAGCAGGCACAGAGGCAGGGCTGCCTAAGCCCTTGTGAGCCCATCCCACACAACCGTGTACCCAGAATGTGGGAAATGGAATCAAGGGAGATTATATTGAAGCTTGAAGATTTAATGTCTTCCCTTCTGGGTTTCAGACTTGCATGGGGCTTGTTGCCTCTTTCTTGTGGCCAATTTCTCTCTTTTGGGTTGGGAATATTCACTCAATGTCTCTGTCACCATTGTATTAATATATTGGGAATAAACAATTTGTTTTTGATCTTATATGCTCATAGGTGGGAGGAACTTGCCTTGAGTCTCAGATGAGACTTTGGACTTTTGAGTTGATGCTGGAATGAGTTAGAACTTTTGAAGACTATTGGGGAGGGATGACTGTATTTTCCAATGTGAGAAGGACATGAATTTGGGGGACCAGGAATGGAATATAGTTTGGATTTTTGTCCCCTCCAAATCACATGTTGAAATCTGACCCCTCATGTTGGAAGTGGGGCCTGGTGGGAGGTGTTTGGGTCATGGGGGTGAATCCTCCATGAATGGCTTGGTGACCTCCTCATAGTAGTGAGTGAGTTCTCACTCCACTAGTTCATGTGATAGCTGTTGTTTAAAGAGCCTGAACCTCCTCCCTTCCCTCTTGCTCCCTCTCTCACCATGTGACACACCTGCTCGCCCTTTACCTTCGACCACAAATGGAAGATGCTGGCACTGTGCTTCTTATATGGTCTGCAAAATGGTGACCCAAATAAACTTCTTTATACACTGCCCAGCCCCAGGTACTCCTTTATGGCAATGCAAAAGGAACTAACACACAGGTGGGTTTTTTTGTTTGTTTTTGTTTTTTTGAGACAGAGTCTCACTCTGTTGCCAGGCTGGAGTGCAGTGGTGCGATCTCGGCTCACTGCAATCTCCACCTCCCAGATCCAAGCGATTCTCCTTCCTCAGCCTCCCGAGTAGCTGGGATTACAGGCACCTACCACCACACCCAGCTGATTTTTGTATTTTTTAGTATAGACAGGGCTTCACCATGTTGGCCAGGCTGGTCTTGAACTCCTGACCTCAGGTGATTCCCCCGCCTCAGCTTCCCAAAGTGTTGGGATTACAGGCGTAAGCCACTGTGCTCAGCTTAATTTCAGCTTTTATTTTAGATATGGCAGGTACATGTGCAGGTTTGTTACATGGGTATATCGTACCCAGGGACTGTACATAGTACCCAATAGGCAGTTTTTCATACTCCTCCCCTTTCCCCTCTAGTAGTCTACAGTGTCCATTAATCCTATGCTATGTTCATGTGTGCTCAGTGTTTAGCTCCCACTTATAAGTGAGAAAATGTGGTATTTGGTTTTCTATTCATGCACTGATTCACTTAGGATTATGGCCTCCAGCTGCATCCATGTTGCTGCAAAGGACATAGTCTCTTTTTTTATGGCTGCATAGTATTCCATGGTATATATGTACCACATTATCTTTACCCAATCCACCATTGATGGACACCTAGATTGATTCCATGGTTTTGTTATTGTGAATAGCATGGTGATGAATGTATGAGTGCATGTATCTTTTTGGTATAATTATCTATTTTCCTTGAGGTATATACCCAATAATGGGATTCATGGGTTGAATAGCAGTTCTATTTTGAGAAATCTCTGAACTGCTTTATTGGTGGCTGAACAAATTTACATTCTCACCAATAGTGTAAAAGGTCCCTTTTCTCTGTAGCCTCTCCAGCCTCTGTTGTTTATTAATAGCCCTTCTGACTGATATGAGATGGTATCTCGCTATGTTGATTTGCACTTCTCTAATGATTAATGATGAGAAGTTTCTCATACGTTGGCCACTTGTATATCTTCCCTTAAGACATATCTGTTCATATGATTTGCCCATTTTTAGCGAGATTTTTTGTTTTTTGCACTTTGATTGAAGTTCCTTATAAATTTTGGATATTAAACATTTCGCGGATGCATGGCTTGAGAAGATTTTCTTCACAACACCCATTCAGGAGGTTTTCCATTTACTCTGTTGATAGTTTCTTTTACTGTGCAGAAGCTCTTTAATTAGGTCTCAGTTGACAATTTTAGGTTTTGTTGCAATTGCTTTCGGGGACTTAGCCAAAAATTATTTGCCAAGGCCAATGTCGAGAAGCATATTTCCTAGGTTTTCTTCTATGATTTGTATAGTTTGAGCCTTCATTTAAATCTTTAATCCATCTTGAGTTAGCTTTTGTATATGGTAAAATGTAAGGGTCAAGTTTCATTTTTCTGCATATGGTTACAAGTTATCCCAGCATCACTTATTGAATAGGGAGTCCTTTCCCCATTACTTTTGCTGGCCTTGTTGAAGATCACATGGTTCCAGGTATATGGCTTTATTTCTGAGTATTCTGTGCCATTGGTCTGCGATATGGTTTGGCTGTGTCCGCACCCAAATCTCATCTTGAGTTGTAGCACTCATAATTCCCACGTGTTGTGAAAGGGACCCAGTGGGAGGTAATTGAATCATGGGGATGGTTTCCCCCATACTGTTCTTGTGGTAGTAAGTCTCAGAAGAGCTGATGATTTTATAAGGGTTTTCCTCTTTTTCTTGACTCTCATTCTCTCTTGTCTCCTGCCATGTAAGGTGTGCCTTTCACTTTGCTCTATGATTGTGAGTCTTCCCCCAGCCACGTGGAACTGTGAGTCCATTAAACCTCTCTTTCTTTATAAATTACCCAGTCTCAGGTATGTCTTTATCAGCAGCATGAGAACAGACAAATACAGTCTGTGTCTGTTTTTATACCACTACCATGCTGTTTTGGTTACTGTAGCCTTATAGTGTAGTTTGAAGTTGGATACTGTGATGCCTCCAGCTTTGTTCTTTTTGTTCAGGATTGCTTTGGCTATTTGGGCTTTTTGTTTCCATATGAATTTTGGAATAGTTTTTTCTAATTATGTGAAGAATAGTGTTGTAGTTTGATAGGAATAGTGTTCAATCTGTACATTGTTTTGGGGAATATGTCCATTTTAATAATATTGATTCATTTAATTTATAAGTATGGAATGATTTTCCATTTATTTGTATTACCTCTGATTTCTTTCAACAGTGTTTTATATTTCTGCTTGTAGAAATCGTTCTCCTCTTTGGTTAGCTGTATCCCTAGGTATTGCATTTTCTTTGTGGCTATTGGAAATGGCATTGTGTTCTTGATTTGACTGTCTGCCTGGATGTTATTGGTATATAGAAGTGACTTTTGCACATTGATTTTTTTATCCTGAAACCTTGCTAAAATTGTTTACAAGTTTGAGTAGGCTTTTGGCAGAGTCTTTAGGGTTTTGTAGGTATAGAATTATATCATCGGCAAAGAAAGATAGTTTGACTTGTTTTTCTATTTGGATGCCTTTTATTTCTTCCTCTTGCCTGATTGGTGCTCTATCCCTGATTGGTGCTCTACTCTGTGACTGTGCTGGTACCTAAAGTGCAAGATAAAGTCCCCTTTACTTTTTCCTCTGCTTTTCTCAAGCAGAAGGAGTTTTGCTCCCTAGCCACCTCAGCTGGTATTGTGCTGAGTCTCACCTGAAGCCAGCAAGTCTGAGGCTCACCCAAGGCCCTTGACGTAGCTCCTGTGTATTGATGCTTGTTATTCAGGGCCCAAAGGCTCTGCAGTCAGAAGGTGATGAATGCTGCCAGGTCTTGGTCCTTTCCTTCAAGGCAGTGTGTGTGTTCCCTTTTGGCCCAGGGTATGTCTAGTAATGTCATCCAGGAGCCAGGGCCTGCAACAGGAACCTCAGGACTCTGACCGGCACCCTATCTTGCTGTGGCTTCCCTGGTATTCAACATGCAAAACAAAGCCTTCCCCACTCTTCCCTCTCCTCTCCTCAAGCAGAACAAAGGGGTTCTCTTTTAGAACCATGAGCTGTGTATCCTGAAGTTAGGGGAGGGGTAATGCCAGCACTCCCTTGGCTGCCCCAGCTGGCATCTCAGTAGGTCACGTGCTCCCCAGTCCACTGTCTCTGGGCCTGGTTCAGCACTAGAACTCACTTAAGAGTTGTTGTCCTTTTGGCCCAGATTGCCTTTCAAGTTTAGATACACAGCACACTGTGGCCCTCAGTGGCATGGTTTGTAGGCTCTCAGGTTCAGACTGCTGGGATCAGTGATTTCCCTCTGGCTAGGGCTGGTTTAAATGCTCCCTCTGCAGGCAGCTATCAGCTGAGTTTGGTCCAGTTTTCCTTTCTGCTCTAACAGGACAGCACTGAGTTAAATGCCTCACAATTGCTGTGCTCTCCCTCCTCCAGCACCCAGAGACATTCTCCGTACCACACCACTGCTGCAGGGGGAGGGGTGAGCTTCATGATTCAATATTCTTTTTTCTATCCCTTCATTGCTTCTTTCAGCGATATGAAGTTAAAACCAGATACTACGAGTGCTCACCTGATTTTTTGTTTTTATTAAGGTTTTTTTCTTCTTCTTCTTCTTCTGTGTAGACAGTTGTTAACTTGGTGTCCTTGCCAGGGGATGATCGGTGGAGCCTTCTATTGCTCCGTCTTGCTCTGCCTCTCCCTCCCTGTTTCTCAATTTTGTTTATTCTTTTAGAAACCCATTTCTTCTTTGTTATCTATTGTTTTACTAGTGTCTGTTTCATTTATTTTTCTCTGATCTTTGCTCTTTCCTTCCTTCAGCTAACTTTGGGTTTAATTTGTTGATCTATTTTAGTTCCTTGATGTATGACATTAGATTATTTGACATCTTTCTTCTTTTCTGATATAGGAATTTGTTATAGATTTCCCTCTTAGAACTGCTTTTGCCACATCCTGTAAGTTTTGGTATGTTGCGTTTCTATTTTTGTCTTGATATTTTTTATTTCCTTTTTGATTTCTTCATTGACACATTTGTTGTTTAAAACATGTTGATTTCCTTGTTTATGAATTTTTAACGGTTTATCCTGTTATCAATTTCTAAGTTGGTGTCACTGTAATCAGAAAATACACTTGATAGAATTTTCAATTGTCTAAAATTTGTTAACACTTGTTTTGTGACCTAACCTTCTTTATTGTGGGTAACATGTACCTGAGAAGAATGTGTATTCTATTGCTGTTGGATGGTTGTGTACATGTCTAAAGTTCCATTTAGTCTAAAGTATAATTCAAGTGCAATGCTGTCTTATTAATTTTATGTCTAGGTGGTCTGTTCATTGTTGAAAGTGGGGTACTGAAATTCCTCTAATAACATTATTCTACTATATATAAGTGCTTTGATATTGGGTACATATACATTAAAAATTGTTCTATCCTCTTGATGAATTGACTCCTTTATCATTATATGACTTTTTCTCCTTGTACAGTTTTTTGACTTAAAGTCTATTTTGTTTCATATAAGCACAGCTACCCTTGCTCTTTTATTATTCCATTTGCATGGAATATCTTTTCCCATTTTCTTCACTTTCAGAAAACTAACCAATTTCTTGGAAGACACAAACTACCAAAATGTTCAAGAAAAAAATAGATAATTTAAATAGTACTGTACCTATTATAGGAAGTGAATTTGTAATTTAGAACATTCCAACAAAACAAACTTTAGGCACAAATTGCTTCACTGGCAAGTTCTAACAAACAGGTAAGAAAGAAAATAAAACTGACACTACACAGTCTAGTACAGAACACAGAAAAGAAGGGATTAGTTTCTAATGCATTTTATAAAGTCAGCATTACCCTGATATGAAAACCAGACAGAGAAAGCACAAGTGAGAGGTGAAGCCAGCTGGACTTCCTGGGTCAAGTGGGGACTTGGAGAACTTTTCTGTCTAGCTAGAGGATTGTAAACGCACCAATCAGCACTGTGTCTAGCTAAAGAATTGTAAATTCACCAATCAGCACTCTGTAAAAACGCACCAATCAGCACTCTGTGTCTAGCTAAAGGATTGTAAATGCACCAATGAGCACTCTGTAAAAATACACCAATCAAAAATGGACCAATCAGCACTCTGTAAAATGGACCAATCAGCAGGGCGTGGGCAGGGACAAATAAGGGAATAAAAGCTGGCCACCACAGCCAGCAGCAGCAACCCACTTGGGTCCCTTCCACACCATGGAAGTTTTGTTCTTTCACTCTTCACAATAAATCTTGTTGCTACTCACTCTTTGGGTCAGTGACACCTTTAAGAGCTGTAACACTCACTGCAAAGGTCCACAGCTTCATTCTTGAAGTCAGTGAGACCAAAAACCCACCAGAAGGAACCAACTCTGGACACATCTTGGCAATCCAGCTGGGACACATCTTGGTGGCCGGGAGGGGACCATAGCCAAGTGGTGAGTACCATCAGACACCTTTCACTTGCTATTCTGTCCTATTTTTCCTTAGAATTTGGGGGCTAAATACCAGGCATCTGCTGGCCAGTTAAAAGTGACTAGCGCAGCCGCCAGGCTAAAGACATGGTGTCAGGCTTTCTGGGAAAGGGCTCTCTAACAACCCCAGACTCTTCGGAGTTGGGAGCATTGGTTTGCCTGGAACCAGCTTCCGCTTTTCCTGTACTTCTGGGCTGAGCTGAGGGTCGATAGAGAGGAAAGCCATTCAGCTCTGAGGGCCTGACAAAAAGTTGGTTGACCCTGTAGCCATCAGCAGAACTCTCAACATCATGTTGCCCAAGCGAGACTCGCCCATCTATCCTATCTATCCTGACCCTTGCCTCCTGGATCCTAATGTCTGCCAGACAAACTTCCTCCTGCCTCTCTTCTCCGAGGCTAGTCCTGCTTCTAAAACCACTCCCTGTCTTTGTTGCTTTTCTAGTTTCTCCTATAAGATAATTTCTAGTAGAAATTTCGGGACTTGGTTCCTTTCTTTAGGCACCCAGACTCACCAATCAGAAAGACATAATTTTTGCCCAAAGACCCGTCGGGGGTGGGGGACTATCTGGAATTTTAGGATCCCTCCTCAGACTAGCAGGCCTAACAAAGGCTATTCCTGAAGCCAAGATATGGGGAGCCTCAGAAATGATACACTTCCTATTCATATGATGAGAAGTGAGGACAAAAGGCGTCACTCTTCCAACCCTGGAGATCTCTTCCCTCCCTCAGGGTATGGCCCTCCACTTCATTTTGGGAGCATAACATCTTTATAGGACAGGGGTAAGGTCTCATTACTAACAGGAGAATGCTTAGGACTCTAACAGGTTTTTGAGAATGCGTCAGTAAGCGCCAATAAATCTGATTTTTCTCAGTCCTCCTTATGGTTTAAGAGGACAGGCAAGGGTGCAGGTTTTTGAGAATGTGTCAGTAAGGGCCACTAAATCCAACCTTCCTCAGTCCTCCTTGTGGTCTAGGAGGAAAACTAGTGTTTCTGCTGCTGCACTAGTGAGCGTAACTATTCCCATGAGCAGGGTGCAGGGACCGTTGCAGGTTCTTGGGCAAGAGGGGTTTCTGCTGCTGCATTGGTGAGCACAACTATTCTGATCAGCAGGGTCCAGGGACCGTTGCGGGTTCTTGGGCAAGAGGTGTTTCTACTGCTGCGTCGGTGAGTGTGACTATTCCAATTAGCAGGGTCCAGGGGCCGCTGTGGGTTCTTGGGCAGTGGGGGGGGCGGGAACAAACCAAAACCATGGGCGTTTTTTTCTTTCAGTTGGGAAGCACTCAGGCATCAACAGGCTTACGCTTGAAATGCATCCTAAGCCATTGGGACCAATTTGACCCTCAAACCCTGAAAAAGAGGTGGCTCATTTTTTTCCACACTGCAGCCTGGCTCCAATATTCTCTCTCTGATGGGGAAAAATGGCCACCTGAGGGATGTATAAATTACAATACTATCCTGCAGCTCAACCTTTTCTGTAAAAGGGAAGGCAAATGGAGTTAAATACCTTATGTCCAAGCTTTCTTTTCATTGAAGGAGAATCCACAACTATGCAAAGTGTGCAATTTACATCCCACAAGAGGACCTCTCAGCTTACCTCCATATCCTAGCCTCCCTGTAGCTCCCCTTCCTATTAATGATAAGCCTCCTCTAATCTCCCCCTGCCCAGAAGGAAAGAAGCAAAGAAATCTCCAAGGGACCACAAAAACCCCCAGGCTATCAGTTATGTCCCCTTCAAGCTGTAAGGCGAGGGGAATTTGCCCCAACCTGGCTACATGTCCCCTTCTCCCTCTCTGATTTAAAGCAGATCAAGGCAGACCTGGGGTAGTTTTCAGATGATCCTGATATATATATAGGTGTCCTACAGGGTCTAGGGCACACCTTCTATCTCACCTGGAGAGATGTCATGCTGTTGTTAGATCAAACCCTGGCCTTTAATGAAAAGAATGCGGCTTTAGCTGCAGCCTGAGAGTTTGGAGATACCTGGTGTCTTAGCCAAGTAAATGACAGAATGACAGCAGAAGAAAGGGACAAATTCCCTGCTGGTCAGCAAGCCATCCCCAGTATGGATCCCCACTGGGACCTAGACTCAGATCATGGGGACTGGAGTCGCAAACATCTGTTGACCTGTGTTCTAGAAGGACTAAGTAGAATTAGGAAAAAGCCCATGAATTATTCAATGATGTCCACCATAACTCAGGGAAAGGAAGAAAATCCTTCTACCTTCCTCAAGCAGCTACGGGAGGCCTTAAGAAAATATACCTGTCACCTGACTCGCTCGAGGGTCAAGTGATCCTAAAAGATAAGTTTATCACCCAGTCAGTCACAGATATCAGGAGAAAGCTCCAAAAGTGAGCCCTGGCCCTTAACAAAATCTGGAGGCATTATTAAACCTGGCAAACTTGGTGTTCTATAACAGGGACCAAGAGGAACAGGCAGAAAAGGAAAAGTGAGATCAGAGAAAGGCCACAGCCTTAGTCATGGCCCTCAGACAAACAAACCTTGGTGGTTCAGAAAGGACAGAAAATGGAGCAGGCCTATCACCCAGTAGGGCTTGTTACCGGTGTGGTTTGCAGGGACACCTTACAAAATATTGTCCAACAAGAAACAAGCTGCCCCCTCACCCATGTCCACTATGCTGAAGCAATCACTGGAAGGCGCACTGCCCCAGAGGATAAAGGTTCTCTGGGCCAGAAGCCCCCAACCAGATGATCCAACAACAGGACTGAGGGTGCCCAAGGCAAGCGCCAGCTCATGTCATCACCCTCACTGAGCCCGGGTAAGTTTAACCATTAAGGGCCAGGAAACTGACTTCCTCCTGGACACTGGTGTGGGCTTCTCAGTGTTAATCTCCTGTCCTGGACGACTGTCCTCAAGGTCCGTTACCATCCAAGGAATCCTGGGACAGCCTGTAACCAGGTATTTCTCCCACCTCCTCAGTTGTAATTAGGAAACTTTGCTACAGATAGTAAGTATGCTTATCTAATCCTACATGCCCATGCTGCAATATAGAAAGATAGGGAGTTCCTAACTTCTGGGGGAACCCCCATTAAATACCACAAGGAAATCATGGAGTTATTGCACGCAGTGCAAAAACCCAAGGAGGTGGTGGTCTTACACTGCCAAAGCCATCAAAAAGATGAAGGAGAAAAGGCAGAAGGAAACCGTCAGGCAGATGCTGAGGCCAGAATTGCTGCCAGGTGGAACCTCCCATTAGAAATACCTATGGAAGGACCCTTGGTATGGAACAATCCCGTCCAAGAGATCAAGCCCCAGTATTCCCCAATTGAAACAGAATGGGGACTTTCATGGGGGCATAGTTTTCTCCTCTCAGGGTGCTTGACAACAGAAGAAGGAAAGGTACTCATAACCAAAGCCAGCCAGTGGAACATACTTAAAATCCTCCACCAAACTTCTCATACGGGTATTGAGAACACTCATCAAGTGGCCAAGTCCCTATTTACAGGGCCAAATCTCCTCCAGACCATCTGACAGGTAGTCAAAGCCCGTGAGGTGTGCCAAAGCAATAATCCCTTGGTCCATTGTAAGGCTCCTCTGGGGGAACAAAGAATAGGTCACTATCCAGGAGAGGACTGGCAGTTAGACTTCACCCATATGCCTAAGTCAAAGGGATTTCAATACTTGTTGGTCCTTTGATAACTTTATAAATTGGATAGAAGCCTTCCCCTATAAGACAGAGAAGGCTCAGGAAGTGGTTAAAGTCCTAATTCATGAAATAATTCCTAGATTTGGGCTTCCCCAAAGATTACAGAGTGACAATGGTATGGCTCTTAAAGCCATGATAACTCAGGGAATTTCCACGATGCTAGGGATACATCACCTTCACTGTGCCTGGAGGCCACAATCCTCAGGGAAGGTCGAGAAGGCAAATGAAACACTCAAGAGGCACTTAAGGAAACTAACACAAGAAACTCATCTCCCATGGCCTACTCTTTTGCCCATGGCCTTGTTGAAAATCCGAAATTCTCCTCATAAAATGAGGCTGGGTCCATATGAAATGCTGTATGGATGATCTTTTCTCAAAAATGACCTCCTACTTGATCAGGAACTTGGTCAAAGATATAACTTTTTTGGCAAAGTATCAACGAAACCTTAAAAACTTACCTGAAGGATGTCACAGAGAAAAGGGAACAAGGTTGTTTCAACCAGAAGATCTAGTGCTGGTCAAATCTCTCCCCTCTACCTCCCCATTTATGGATTCTTTGTGGGAAGGACCATATTTGGTAATCCTTTTTACCCCCACTGCAGTTAAGGTGGCAGGAGTGGAATCTTGGATTCACCACACCCGAGTTAAACTTTGGACATCCCCTGTGGGACCATTAGCTCGGGAGTCCCAAGATCAGCCAGATCAGCCAGACCAGCCTCGATACACCTGTGAACTGTTGGAGGACTTGTATCTCCTATTTTGAAAGGAAACATCCCAGACTAAAAAGGCTCCTACCACTGATCCTGAGGAAAAGCCCCATTCCTCCTTAAAAAAGGTAAGTGAAAACCTACATAATCTTTAACACCTCTCCTTACCCCTTTAATGGAATCCTTTTACTATTTCATCTTATTATTAAGCAGCATACTAACCATACTCTTTGCAATAGGTCTATATACTGTAGCTCCTGCAGGGATGAAAACCCTAATCACATCAACCTTCTTTCTATCTTCCTTCCTTCTGACAGCAATTTACTCCTACCTTTAACACAAACTGGATAAAATGATCTCATCTTCCAGAGCACCCTCTTTACTTTCCTATTTACTCTTTGCCTATCTATCCCTCCTGCTTCCTTGCATAACCCATACAATCACCCCTCCTCTTCCACTAGCTCCTATTTACCTCTACAAGACTCTCAACTTAACCCACTCTCTGTTAAACCAGTTCAATCCTTCCATGGCAAATGACTGTTGGCCTTGTATCTCTCTATCAACCTATGCTTAGGTTGCCATTCCTGTTCCTGCAAAAAAACTGGGTCTTTACCAACTTAACCTACCACCCTCGTTATGAAGGAAAAGACCCTTTCTGACTTCTAAATATGCAATCATTAACCAACTTCCCCATCTTTGATGGGACCAAGAATACCCTAACAGGACGTGCAGTCCAACTTTTATGTTCTTATATTTCCAACCTCACCTATTACACAAGCAATGAAAAGCCCATACATAGCCCTGTAACTGTGAATACCATCTTAACTTTCCAAGCCCCTTTATGCATCTAACGCAACCTGTTACCAGGCCTGCCCCTGGGGCACCTACTACCCCATCTGTGTAATTTCACCCTACAACTTCAAGCCCCAACTGATCATAGTAACTTCCAAGTCCCCCAAACAGCTCCATTCGGATGGCTTGTCCGCTTCTCAGGGCCTCCAAAAATCATTACCTCCTCCCTGCTTAACAAATAGTCCAGGTTTTGTAATGGCAAACGTACTCCCTGCATGACCATTCACCCCTGGACCCCCTGCAGCAGCGCCCCCACCACTAGTGAATGCCTTCTCATCCCCTCTTTCAATCATTCTCTTGAATGGTTCCTAGTAGATACAAAACGGTTTTTTTCTCCATGGAGAAAACAGAACACAGGGAGCCACTCAGTTTGCTTTCAACACCCCTTTCCAGCCACTCACTGGAGCTACCTTGGCAAGTACTCTAGGAGCATGGGAAAATAAAAACGACAAACTCACATACCTTTTTAACATACACAACTAGTTCTGTCTATCCAGCCAAGGTATATTCTTCTTATGTGGAACATCAACCTATATCTGCCTCCCCACTAACTGGACAGGCACCTGCACCTTAGTCTTCCTAAGTCCTAACATTAACATTGCCCCAGGAAATCAGACCCTATCAGTACCCCTCAAATCTCAAGTCCATCAGCACAGAGCCATACGACTAATACCCCTACTTATAGGGTTAGGAATGCTACTGCTACAGGAACCGGAATAGCCAGTTTATCTATTTCATTATCCTACTACCACACACTCTCAAAGGATTTCTCAGACAGTTTGCAAGAAATAACAAAATCTATCCTTACTCTACAATCCCAAATAGGCTCTTTGGCAGCAGTGACTCTCCAAAACCACCGAGGCCTAGACCTCCTTGCTGCTGAGAAAGGAGGACTCTGCACCTTCTTAGGGGAAGAGTGTTTTGTTTACACTAACCAGTCAAGGACAGTACAAGATGCCACCCGGCATTTACAAGAAAAGGCTTCTGAAATCAGACAACGCCTTTCAAACTCTTTTACCAACTTCTGGAGTTGGGCGACATGGTTTCTCCCCTTTCTAGGTCCCGTGACAGCCATCTTGCTATTACTCGCCTTTGGGCCCTGCATTTTTAACCTCCTTGTCAAATTTGTTTCCCCTAGGATGGAGGCCATCAAGCTACAGAAGGTCTTACAAATGGAACCCCGTTTGTAAGTTGTTAGTTGAGCTCAACTAACAACTTCTACCAAGGACCCCTGGATCGACCCACTGGCCCTTTGGCTGGCCTAAAGAATTCCCCTCTGGAGGAAACTACAACTGCAGGGCCCCTTCTTTGCCCCTATCCAGCAGGAAGTAGCTAGAGTGGTCATCGCCCAATTCCCAACAGCATTTGGGATGTACTATTTAGAGGGTGGATTGAGAGGTGAAGCCAGCTGGACTTCCTGGGTCCAGTGGGGACTTGGAAAACTTTTCTGTCTAGCTAGAAGATTGTAAATGCACCAGTCAGTCCCCTGTGTCTAGCTAAAGAATTGTAAATGCACCAATCAGCACTCTGTAAAAATGCACCAATCAGCACTCTGTGTCTAGCTACAGGATTGTAATTAAACCAATCAGCACTCTAAAAATGCACCAATCAATGCTCTGTGTCTAGCTAAAGGATTGTAAACACACCAATCAGCACTCTGTAAAAATGGACCAATCAGCACTCTGTAAAATGGACCAATCAGCACTCCATAAAATGGACCAATCAGCACTCTGTAAAATGGACCAATCAGCAGGACATGGTCAGGGACAAATAAGGGAATAAAAGCTGGTCACCCCAGCCAACAGTTGCAACCCGCTCGGGTCCCCTTCCACACTGTGGAAGCTTTGCTCTTTTGCTCTTCACAGTAAATCTTGTTGCTGCTCACTCTTTGGGTCCATGCCACCTTTAAGAGCTGTAACACTCACTGCGAAGGTCCCTGGCTTCATTCTTGAAGTCAGTGAGACCAAGAACCCACTGGAAGTAACCAACTCTGGACACACAAGGAAATAAACTTCAAACCAATATCTCCTGAGAACATAAATACAGAAAACTGTTCAACAAAGTATTGACAAATCAAATCTAACAATATATAAAAATTATAATACCTCACAACCAAATCTAGCTTATTCTGGTAATGCAAGATCAATTCAACATTCAAAAAAAATCAATGTAATTTACTATATTCATATATTTAAAAAATCATATAGTCCTACCAATAGATGCAATTAAAGAATGACAAAACTTAAAAGCCATTTTTGATTTAAAAAAAAACTCAGCAAACTGGGACTAGAAGAAAGGAACTGCTTTAACCTGATAAAGTACATCTACAAAATACCTGCAGCAAACATCCTACTTAATAGCAGACAATTTAATGCTTTCTCTCCTAATGTCAGGGAAAAAAAAAGATGTTCATACTTAGCATTTCTATTCAACATTTTGCTGAAATTTCTAGTCAGCAAATTGAGGGGATATAGATTGGAAAGAAAGAAATATAACGTTTCTATTCACAGACAGCATAATAGTCTACGTAGAAAACTTTAAAGAATATGCAAAAAAGCTCCTAGAACTCATAGGTGAGTTTAGCAAGACCCTAGGATATAAGATCAACACAAAATTTAGTCACATTTCTTTATACTAGAAATGAACAACTGGAAATCAAAATTTGAAACAAAATACAATGGTACCAAAATTCAAGAAATACTTAAGTATAAATTTAACAAAATATGTATAGAATCTGTATTTGGAAAGCTATACTGATGAAAACAATCAAAGAACCAAATAAATGGAGATATATACTATGTTCATGGATTAAAGACACAGTGTTGTTTATGACATCAGTTTTCTCCAAATTGATTATAGATTCAATGCTATAAAAAATCCCAGCAGAATCTCCTATAGATATTGCAAATTGGTTCTATTACTTATATGGAAAGGCAAAGAAAGTAGCAGAGACAAAACTATCTTGAAAATGAAGTCAGAAGACCCATACTACCTCGTTTTAAGACTATTTTAAACCTACAAAAATCAAGTCACTGTGATATTGCTGAAAGATTATATACATAGATTAAGAAACAGAATAGAGTCCAGAAATAGACCCACATACATATGGTCAATTCACTTTTGACAAAGTCACGAAGGCAATTCACTGGAGAAAGAATAGTATTTTCATATGTTTCTGGAACAAGTGAATATTCATATAAAAAAAGATACTCAAATATACTTCACATCTCATAAAAAGTTATTCAAAATGAATCATAGACAATCTAAGGCTATAAAACTTTTAAATGAAAACAAATGGGGCAATCATTGTGATATTGTACCAGAGTTCTAGATATAATCCCAAAGGCATGCATGGTCCATTAAATAACAACAAAATGTATTATACTTCTCCAACATTAAAAACATCTGCTCTGCAAAACATACTGTCTACAGAATAAAAATGCAAGCCATGAACTTCAAGAAAATATTTGCAAGTCATATATCTGAAAAAGACTTATATCCAGAGTAGATAACCCTCAAAACTCAGGAATAAGCAAATAATCAAACTTATAAAAATGAACAAACGATTTCAACAGACACTTCAACAAAGAAGATACACATGGGAAATAAACCCCTGAAAAATACTCTCAACATCATTAACCATTAGGAAAATGCAAAATAAAACCACAGTGAGATACCACTAAACACCTTTCAGAATGTCTAAAAATTTTAAAAAGCTGAAAATATCAAATCACCAGCAAGGATATAAACCAACTGGAGGGCTTATACATTTTTGTTGGGAATGCAAAATGGTGGTCACATAGGAAAACCAAAAAGTAGAAATAAGAAGAAAATATATTGTCAAATATTTATTTATTCATTATGAATCCTACAGATCAGTGAGAAACACTAACGATATCAATAAAAAGAGACAACATCAATAAGCACTTCATTAAAAATGAAAAGCAAATGGCACAAAAAAGTGGAAAAAATTACAGATCCAGTGTTAAGCAAATAAATGAAAAGTGAAATATTAGATACTATTCTTCATGATTCACCACTGACAAGGATTTTTAAAATAACAGTATTCAGTACTCAAACTACTGGTAGCAATGTTATTTGTTAAAACTTTCCAGAACATGATTTGTAAATATCTGTCATGAACTATAAAAAATTTCATCCCCTTAGAATCAGTAATTTTACTTCCACGAATGGATTCTAAGAAGTAATCAAAAATGAAGATAAAGATTTATATATAAATAAGCTCATCATGGCATTATTTTCAATACTGGAACAGTGGAAACAACCTTAATACACAAAAGGCTTATAACCAGTTGTGGCACAACTATAAAACAGAATAGTATTCAGCCACTAAAAAATATTTATGAAGAGTTTTTGATGACATGGGAAAATATTTCTGATGTAATAAGATTGAAGAAAGCAGGATAAAAAACTGTATATATTATGACACTGATAATATATATATAAACATGCATATATATTATTTTTAAGGTTAAGATTGCTTATATATGGATATTTATGTGTGTGTCTCTACAAAGAAATATAACCATTAAGGCTACCAGGCTAGATTTTCTTATTCTATTTTTAAAAGATCTAAAATTTCTTTCTCAACTCTGATAGATGTTTTATATTTTAAAAATTATACTACTTGTATAATCAAAAAAATATTTTTAAATAATGTTTTCTTTTATGGCATATGATAAGACCTGGTTTTTATGTCTGCTTCAGCTGGAGACCCACGCTTTTTCATAAGATAATTTTATCTAAAGGGAAAATGCCAAGAATATAGTTTTCTTCAGGATTATATGATACAAGAAGCTTCACCACTCCCTGGATAGCCATGATCTCTTAGTGACAACGAAGATTTCAGTTCACATCATCTTAGGGTTTTATTGACCCCATAATATCCATCAATATCACAAGAATAGGTTTTGTTTTATCCAAACCTGACTCAGAAAATTTTATAAATGATAGCTTACAAGACTAAAATATCTTATCAATATCTTCTAATTTTTTTCGTCACTGTGTAACTCACATTCCATAATGAACATAGCAAAATGGACAGAATTGGAGTGTTATTTCATTAGTACAATGAGGCAATTATGTCAAAGCTGTCAATCATTCTAGACTTCTTGGTGCCTAGATATTATGCTTTTGTATATGCCAAGTTGCCTCAATTTTACCAATCAGATTCCTGTGCAGGAATATCATAAAATGTTATAGATGAGGAAAATGCAAGATTAAAGAATGTTGTTTAAAGCAATTAACTGGGGAAATAAGAAAAATAAATGAAATGAACAATTACCTGGACAAGAAGAATACAGGCTAAAAATAACATTCACCTTGGGTAATTCAGGAACATTTGCCTTGAAAGAATAATGGCAGATAATTGATTCAACTACCTACTAAGGGCCAAGAAATATACCTTAAATACTTTTACCTGAAGTAAAAGTATTATATAATTAATATGAGGCATCATACACTATTAAAGACTTAATTCATTAAGTGACTCACTTTTGTTTGTTTACCGTGGAAAGATCAGTAGCTTGTATTGATTCATTTAAAAGAAGTGAGAGGTATTTCTGCTTTCTTCTTAGGATATAAAAAGATGGAGAGGACATCCTTCTAATCCTTACAACAGCAAGAACAACAAAATGCCAGACTATTGTCAAATTTACAACTCATCTTGAACCCATGGGAGAGCTGAAGTTTCAGACAATAAAATCTAAGGAATATAGACGTGTTTAAGGAGAGACAGTCATGAGCACTTCTTAACTGGGGTAGATATTGCCAGACATCAGCAAGAAGAAACCAGCTAATATTAACCAATTGCTAAAGATCACATGTGAGCTAGGGAGAGAGTCCCTGTGAGACAAAGACATAAAGGCAATTTACAGTCCCCTGCAGGGTATTGCCACATACCTTGAGTTCACAGTCACAAAAAATATTGGAGGCAGAGCAAGAGTCTTAATAAAGCATCCCTTGTGGGAACAGTAGCCACTGGGGGAAAGGATATGAAGCATCTATTCTTGGATCTTCTCCTCTATTTCCCTCATCAAACAAAAAGCATAAGCTACCTAAGAACAGCAAATTATGTGCTTTTAGGGAACTGGTGAAAAACCATCACAGCTGAAGAACAGAAACTGAACAAGACCTCTATCCACAGGGATGAGTAAGAATATGTGTTGGGGGATTGAGGAGGTGGGTTGGGGGCAGATCTGTAAGTAGGGGCTGGTCACTGTAACTCCTGAGTAGGAGTTAACCATCTACTCCTGAGTAGATTGGCTCAACCCCCAATTGGTAAATGCCCAGCAGAAGGAAAAGTAGGCCCATTTCCAGGCATTACTTTTTTTTTTTTTTTTTTTAAGACGGAGTTTCACTCCTGTTGCCCAGGCTGGAGCGCAATGGCACGATCTCAGCTCACCGCAACCTCTGCCTCCTGGGTTCAAGCGAATTCTCCTGCCTCAGCCTCCTGAGTAGCTGGGATTAAGGCATAGTCTCTACTTTCTTATGCAAGGTAACTGACTTTCAGCAAAAAGTTGTGTGGCTTACAAAAAACAGCAAGGACAAAAACCACACTATCAAGAGACAAATCAATCACCAGTAGATTCAGATATGGCACAGATGTTAGAACTATTAGGGAATTTAAAATAACCATGACTAATGTCAAGTGATCTAGTGGAAAAGGTGGACAAGGCACATAATCAGATGTTAATTTCAGCAGAGCTATGGAAGCAAAGAAATAATTAAGTGAAAACACAAGAAATGACAAACACAATAAGAAATTTAAAATTCCTTTTCATGCTCATCAACAGACTCAACACAGTGAAGACAAGAATTAGTAAACTTGAAGACAGGATCATGGGAATCAGCCAAACTGAAACACAAAGAGGTTGGGTACACTGAGGCCCTGTGTTGGTGAGTGGAGAGGGAAAGAAGGGCTCTCAGGAGTTTGAGAGCTCCTGGGAGATGTCCTGGGTTGGCTTGATGGGGAAACCTACTCCATGTAACTAAATCCTCACAAACCCTATACTCTGAGCCGTCCTTTGCCCCTATTCATTTAGTCCCAACATGAGCAATGCCAGTGCTCTCATCATCTGCCTGTGAGAAGAGACTAACCTTTGGTCCCTACATCCATGCAGACCCTTAACCTTCCTTTCTTCCTGCAGCAGGTCTTCCAGCTGATACCTGCGGCATTGATAATAGACACTCCATAGCTCAGCTTTAGGTTCGTAACAGTAAACGCCTTTGTTATATAGATATATAGGTGTCTCTTATCACTCTCAGCCTAGCCAGTATAGATAAAGCAGTGTGGGGCAAGTTTTCTCTACTGGAGTGCTATTTTTAGCACTTATACTTCTACTGGCTTAAACATACCTCACTGTGTGTTTTTTTGTTGCTGTTGTTTTTGTTTTTGTTTTTGTTTTGAGATGGAGTCTCACTCTGTCACCCAGGCTGGAGTGCAGTGGCGTGAACTCGGCTCACTGCAAGCTCCGCCTCCCGGGTTCATGCTTCTCCTGCCTCAGCCTCCTGAGTAGCTGGGATCACAGGTGCCCACCATCATGCCTGGCTAAATTTTTTTTTGTATTTTCAGTAGACGGGGTTTCACCGTGCTAGCCAGGATGGCCTCGATCTCCTGACCTCATGATCTGCCCACCTCGGCGTCCCAAAGTGCTGGGATTACAGGCGTGAGCCACTGTGCCCAGCCCAAACATACCTTACTCTTATGCACTGTATTTCATCTATGCTCATAAAGTTGTTCCCAATAAATACTATCATTGTTTACACCATGGATGCATCGTGGTGTAGGTCGCCATGTATCATACATAATGTTTGATACACACTGTGGGATCCTTGCCAGTGTCATTTGACCTGATATTTTGCAATCAGGGAAAGAGTTTAGCTGGGCCAAGGTGGGAGATATGCCCTACTCCTTGACCTTGGAGTAGGGGCAAGTTCCCTTCGCTGAGGTGGCTGGATGGTGCTGCGGATCATGGAAGAAGGGTAGAAGTGCTGTGAGAGGGCCTTGAAGGGAGATAGCATTGCTAATGAATTTCCCCTGATTCCTTTGCATTTGGATGTGTTTTTGAGCCCTCAAGAGGAGGAGGAAAGGAAAACAGGAAAAATACTGTTGTTGCATCTAGGGCAGCTACTAAAGTCAATCACTTGACCTGGAGATGGGATGGATGGGCATGGTTCTGTACCCACCACCTTCAGTGTTGCCAATAGGACAGTCACTTGGCCACCTCAGACACAGAGGGAGTTCTTCCATGAGGGAAAAAAGAATGACTGTTATTGCAGCCATGGAGGCAGTTTGAAACCAGTTATCGTAGGGCATATTGTACAGGGAGTGAGGGGAATCATCACTGGGAGGAGGTACCAGATTCCATATGAAAACTAAGTCTTTCCGGGAGGGCTATCAGCAGCCTGCAGAGGGGTGTTTAAAGGCTTGGGATGTTATTTTGAATGAAGAAGTGATGGCATTAGTTTTATTGAATGATGCTGCATAATAAGCAATAGGTAAAATAACATGTGACCCTTGTCAAAAGAATAGAGAACTGATTGCCTAGGTTGGTTAATGTGGGGGAAGGCTATTTCTGTCCAATTCTTGATCAAGAACTTGGTGGATTTGGGAAGTCATGCACTTCATGACATTGTATATGCGGCTAATGATGAACTGCATACACAATGGTGGTCTTATAAGATTACAATGGAGCTGAAATATCGCTATTGCCTGGTGATGTTGTAGCCATCATTACATTTTAGTGCAATGCATTACTTGTATGTTTGTGATTATGTTGGCATAAACCTACTGTCAATTATATAAAAATACATACCGTACAATTATGTCTAGTACATAATACTTGATAATGACTATGTTACTGATTTTATTATACTGTATTTTGTCATTTTAAAAGTGTAATTTTTTTCCAAATAACTCTAAAATAGCTAAGGCAGGCCTTTCAGGAAGCATTTCAGAAGACAGTGTTGTTATTATAGAAGATGACAGCTCCATGCATGTTACTATTGCCCCTGAAGACCTTCCAGTGGGACAAGATGTGGAAGTAGAAGACAGTGATATTGATGATCCTAACCTTGTGTAGGCCTAAGCTAATGAGTGTTTCTGTCTTAGTTTTAACAAAAAGTTTAAAAAGTAAAAAACAAATAGAATTTTAAAAACAGAAGAAAGCTTATAAAATAAGGATATAGAGAAAATATTCTGGTACATTTGTACAATGTGTTTGTGTTTTACTAAGTATTATTGCAAAAGAGTCAAGAAGTTTTAAAAATTTAAAGAGTTTATAAAGTAAAAAAAGTTACAGCAAGCTAAGGTTAATTTGTTATGGAAAAAAGTTTTAAAAATAAGTTTAGTGTAGCCTACGTATGCAGTGTTTATGAAGTCTAAAGGAGTGTAGTAATGTCCTAGGCCTTCACATTTACTCACTACTCACTCGCTGACTCAACCCAGAGCCACTTCCAGACCTGCAAGCTCTATTCATGGTAAATGTCCTATACAACTGTAACATTTTATCTTCTTTATGCTTAGATACGTTGAGATATACAAATACTTATTGTGTTCTTTGCCTATAGTATTTAGTACAATAACATGCTGTTCAGGTTTGTAGCTTAGGAACAATAGGCTATAAAATATAACCTCAATGTGTATTAGGTTATGCCATTTAGGTTTTTCCTCACCCCCACCCCTGCCCCCCTCCCCCCAAGACGGAGCCTCACTCTGTCGCCCAGGCTAGAGTGCAGTGGCGCGACTCAGCACACTGCAACCTCCACCTCCTGGGTTCATGCGATTCTCCTGCCTCAGCTTCCCAAGTAGCTGGGACCACAGGCACTCACCACCACGCTTGGCTAATTTTTGTATTTTTAGTAGAGACAGGGTTTCACCATGTTGGCCAGGCTGGTCTTGAACTCCTGACCTCAGGTGACTCATCCGCGTCAGCCTCCCAAAGTGTTGGGATTACAGGCGTGAGCCACCGCACCTGGCCGCCATTTAGGTTTGTATAAGTACACTCTGAGATTTGCACAATGAAATGGCCTAATGATACATTTCTCAGGATGTGTCCTCATCAGTAAGTGACTCAGGACTGTACATATCCCCGTTAGGAGATATTCCTGAGATTATAAATTGGAGTACCTCACTGAGGCAGTTGCCATTTTGAGATGGTTGCTCTGTTAACATAGCTATATGAGAACTTGGGCATCAAAGAGAATAGCTGATAATATGCCTTGATGCAGAGAATGCATGATGATTTCATATGGGCATGCCCTTCTCAAATGGGCAGTGGTTTGCATTTGCTTTCTTCACTGAGGGAAGCTGATATTACTCTGTCTTATAGGAGCAAATAATGAAAAGGGGCCCCAGAATGTCTCAGGATTCTATGTAGAAAGGAAAAAAAAGGGAACCAAGAAAGAAAGGACAGAGTACCCTGTTTCAATTACTTTGGCTGTGTAACAAATGACTCCTAAACTTGGTGTTTTACAACAATTATTTTGCTCATAAATCTACAATTTGAGCAAAATATGGCTGAGATAGTACAGTCCTTAATCCACCTGACATCAATTCTGAGAACTGAAGTACAGAGGCTAGAATCATCTGAAAGCTCCCTCACTCATGTCTGGAAGCTGTTGCTGCCATTGACTAGAACCTTAGCTAGGGCTATTTGCCAGAAAACTCACATGTGACTTCTCTGTGTGGTCTCGGCATCCTCACAGCATGGTGTCTGGGTTCCAAGGGCTAAAGTACAGAGTGAGAGCCAGACAGTAATGCTATGATGTTTTCTATCCTGGTTTTGTAACCACATAGAATCATTTCTACTGCATTCTACTAATTAGAAGCAATTGCCTAAAGCTGACGTATTCAAAAAGTGGGAGAATTAGACTCCACTTTTTTGGGAAACATTTGTAAATATGTTTTTAAACCAACACCATCTGTCCACTGGCTACAAATTATCCACATTCCTTCCACATGCAAAATACACTAAAACCCTCCAAAGATTCCCCCAAAGTTTGATTCATGCCAGCATCAGGCTCAGGCTCATCATTCCTCCTTACCAGGTGTAGGTGTGGATGAAGCTCCTCAGGGACAGTTTCTCTCAGGGTGAACACCTCTGAACTGAAAAGACAATTTTCTACCCCAACTCATCCAACATAAAATGGTGAATGAGGCAGAAGATAATCACTTTTGCACTAATAGGGAAAACAGAGGTACACAGGAGTCACTGGTTCATAGCAATTTTGAAATCTAGCCAAGCACATGTTCCCAGTTCTTTAATTAGTTCTCAGTCTTGTGAATTTCTTGAAGTGAATGACCTTAGCTTTGTTCCGTAGCTCTATGCTCATGTCATCTTCCCTATTAGTTAGCTATTGCTATATGCATTAGTCCATTTTCACACTGCTATAAAGAATACCTGAGACTGGATAATTTATAAAGAAAAGGTTTATTGACTCTCAGTTCTGCATGGCTGGGGAGGCCTCAGGAAGCTTACAATCACGGCAAAAGATGAAGGGGAAGCAAGGCACGTCTTACAGGGTGGCAGGAGAGAAAGAGTGCAGGGGAAACTGGCACATTTAAATCATCAGATCTCATGAGAACTGCCTCATTATCACAAAAGCAGCAGTGGGGAAACTGCCTCCATGATCCAATCACCTCCCACCAGGTTTCTTCCTTGACATGTTGGGATTACAATTCAAGACGAGATTTGGATGGGGACACAGAGCCAAATCACATCACTATGTAATAAATAATTCTAAAACTCAGTGGCTTTAAACAGTAATTATTCTCTCTAACTATTCCTCAAGGTCAGAAATTCAGGAGCAGCTTGGTAGGAAGGTTCTGGCTTAGGATCTTTTATAAGGTTGCAGTCAAATCTTGGCCAGGGATGCAATCATCTGAAGGCTTAATTGGGCTGCAGAATTTACTCCTAAGGTGGCTCAAAATACACAAAGCATATCACAGAGATTCAAGGTAACATTCCACATCCTCTTGGCATGACAGTTCTTCTCCATCATAGAAGGTGACTTATGTGCTTATCACTGTGCCGTAAATACACAGTGACTCATATGGCCAGCAAGTTGGTATTGGTCAATGGTCAGACGCCTCCATCTTTCTTTATGTGGGCCTTTCCATGGAATGCTTGGATGTTCTGGCTCTCCACAGAGCAAGTAATCAGAGAGCATAAGATAGAAGCCATCATGACTTGATGACCTAGCCCTGAAGTCACATATCATTTTCTCTGAATTCTATTTTTAAAGATGCCTAGATTCAGTGTAGGAGGGAACTACACAAGCATGTAAATATCAGATGGTACTAGGAGCCATTGAGGAAGATATAGAACTATGGTTCATGAGTAGAGGAACTGAAAAATATAAAATCCAGAAATTGAATAGGTGCCAAACTGCAAATAATAGAAAATATATCAAGAAACGCGACAGATCCATATGAAAGTCAAAAGTATATCCAGAAGCAATAAGGAAAAAACAAATGGTGTATTGACTACATAGACAGAGATCCCTGAATAGTTTTCTGAACTCTCCCAGGCAGTGGCTCACTGTGAAAACTTCCTTTGACACTCAATTTGTCATCCCCAATCTAATGGAGCTTTGATGATCTTACTGGCATCCTATTCCCAGTGACACTGAGAATATTGCTAATAGCTAGCAAGGTCCAGAGTCCCTCTTTGCTCTGTCCTCTTAAGTGCTTTCACAGCCACACTCATCATGTTCAACTTTCTTCATCCTTTCACATAGGTAGTGATACTCCCATTCTGCCATCTCATCTCCCAGCAGTCTTGTAAATGCCCTAAGAGACCTGGTGGTGTTCTTCTGCATGCTAGTACAGCAATGAGGTTTGCTCCACCCCAACACTAGAACCTAAATGCACGCAAGTTATTTTATCCCACGAAAAACTGTCATTGCCAAGTGGAGGTGGAACGTTACCTTGAATCTGTGTGGTATCCATCTTGGGACTTGTTTCTTTGTGTGGATATCCAGCTGTGCAATGCCTTCTCCTAGTAATAACCTCTCTCTCACTCTGGGAATAATTCTGTAGCTTTTATAGTGACTCAGAAATCCACTGGAATACTGGTCATTAAGGTTCTTGGGACCAGCACTGGGGTCTCTCTTGTGGTATTAAGGAAACAGAGTTTCACCACTGTATGTGACCATTCTGGACACGGATAAGCACTTCATGAGGCCAAGACATTATCTGCCACCTAGTGGCTACCCTAAAGCACATTGCCCAGAACCAACTGGAACCTCAATCCTGAACAGAATAGGCTTGTCTCTCCTGCCAGGTCATGTGGATAGCCTCGGATGGAGTCCGTGTTATGGAAAGTATCTCCTGCTCTCAACATTGAACTATCTCAGGAGCAGGCTGGGTGGCTACAGGCTCTTTCTTTCTCAGTCTACACCATTAGGTTTTCACCTCTTAGCCCTGGGCTCCATGGTGGGTTGGCTCAATAGAGTTTTTCAAATCCCTATGATGTGCTTTACAATGTTTAGAGACTTCTCTCATTATACAGCGACTCCTCAGATGCTGTCAGAAAGCTTTGAAGGCTCCGTTTCAAGACTGGTTTTCCGAATGGGGAAGCTTACAGTTAATGCATCCTAAAGGTCAGAAGGCAGACTGAGAAAGGACAAACCCTTGGTCTCTGGTGGCCGTGCAATGGGATGGTCCTTTCTAATGAAAAGTTTGTTCATCTTGTCTGCACAAGCTCACAAAAGGACAGCAAGTTCTATTAGCAACAGTGATATTCAAACTCCCTCACTGAGCACCCAAGTAATAAAGGTTACTTTCTGGATCAGGACTCCCCTTTATTTCATAGAAAACCAGGCATTCCGTACTCCACCTTAATCTAGGCTATAAATATGTAAATTGGTGGCAGGGAGATGTTTAATTGGAGTGCACATTCAGCTCCACTGCTCCACTCCTCAAGCACATCATTCTAGGGAATAATATTGGGTCTCAGGGGATGGCATGTTCTCTGTTCTTTCCTGCTTTTAAGTTGCCTTTACAGTTTGTCATCACATGCACCATGGGTGCCACCATGCAGCTTAATGACAGTTTGGTTGTCTTGAACACCCTCTGGAGAACAATGCCCCAGGACACATAAGCTTTAAGGGCCTTTCGGGTTTCTTAAGGGGTAAAAGGTGGTTCAAAGTTCCCAACCTGGAAGTGGAATGGAGTCTGTTAGTACACTCTGAATATGACAAAGGGGATTGGATGTCCCTGTTCCAGGTGGGGGTTCTTTCCAGATACTTTAACTTGCAGATGCCATGTTCTACACAATGTGCAAGTTGAAGTAACCCAGAGCAGCCCCAAACACAGAATAGTTACCTGAGGCTATGGTTTGAATGACTGTATCTTCTCCAAAATTCATGTTGAAACTTCATCCCCAATGCAATGGTATTAAGAAATGGGGCCTTTAGGAGGTGATTGAGTCATAAGGGCTCCACCCTCATGGATGAGATTAGGTGGTCTTATAAAAGGGTTTGATGGGGAAGTTTATCCTCTTTCAAACCCCTTCTGTCCCTTTTTGCCTTGTGAGGACACAGCATTCCTCCCCTCCAAAGGATGCAGCTACAAGACCACATCATGGAAGCAGAGAAAGGCCCTCATGAGACGCCAGTCCTGCCAGCACCTTGGTTGTGGACTTTCCAGCCTTTAGAACTGTGAGTAATAAAGTTCTGTTCTTTATAAATTGCCTAATCTAGAATACTGTTACAGCAACACAAATGGACTAAGACACCTGGTCACATTGTTATTTTCCCTCTGTATCATGCCAGTTGGGCATTTGACTGGGTGTATCTGACACCAGGATGGGAAAAAAACTTTCTTAATGCATTCAGTTAGTGATAAGTCCAAGATGCAATCCAACTCACTTTAGTAAGCATGGGGCTTCAATTAGACATTCCCTTTTGTTCAGTTCCTTCAAAGATTCTGCTTAACCTTAACAGGAAAGATATAATATATAAGATTATATCTTTATATACAATTAAAGACATATAATTTACCCATGTAAAAAACCTGCACATGTACCCCTGAAATAAAAGCTGGAAAGAAAAAGATAGAAGTTTTACAGGCAAAATAGATAAATATAACTTCCTTCAGAGGGAAGATTAAGATCTATTTTAAAGGAACAAGAAAAAAAACAGTTGATCCTAGGAACCTTACCTTAGGGTTTCAAGTACTTTCAGTCACTCACCTCATCATGCACACAACCACATCCCCCAGTGTTCCTCTGCTTTCCTGTGCAATCAAAACCCAGCAGGACCAGGCATGGACATTGAGAGAGTTTACTGTAGGGTGCCATTTTTTTTTTTTTTTTTTTAAAGAAATGATTCAGAGCTACGAGAGATCTTTTTTTTTTTTTTTTTTTTTTTTTTTTTAAAAAGCCTTTTTAAGCTAATGACTGTTCAGGTTCTTGCACATCAAATGCCATTTACAGGGTCAGTGAGTGGAATAAAAAGGAAAATGACAGCCTTTGAAGAGAGACATGGCTGGCATTTAACTACCAAAAAGCACAAAAATGGAGGTATATTTAAAAGAACTACAGAGTATAGACCGCAATGAGAAGGAAGAGAGAAAATGTGTCGTGACTTGGAAGAAAAGGATGAGGGGGTTGGGAGGATGTGTGAAAACCTGAAAAATAAGAAGGAGCTTACAGGGAAAAGAAGGAGGATTTCTTCACTGCTTTGAAAACTTTAATGGACTTCAAGTTTCAAGACGGAGATATGAGCTCACATGTTTATCTCACCTCCATCCTAGAAACTCATTATGGTGACCAAGAAGATGCAAAATAAAAAGAATGTCTACAGCAGCATTGAAAAATAAGAAGGGGAAGCAGAACAAGAAAGGGAATACTAGACAATAAGAAGCATGTATCAGTCAGGGCTCTCCAGAGAAACAGAACCAGCTGGATGGAGATATATGTTTTATGATTATGATGAATTGGCTCACAAAATTATGGAGGCTAACAAATCCCAAGATCTTCAGGGTGAGTCAGTAATCTAAAGATCCAAGACAGCCAATAGTGCAATTGCAGTCCAAAGGCCAGTAGGCACAAGAGCCAGGAACAGCTGATGCTTCCATTCGAGTCAGAAGGCAGGAGCAAGCCAATGATCAAGTCTGAAAACAGGAAGGAGAAATTCTCTCCTATTCGAGGGAAAGTCAGTCTTTTAATTGTATTTTGGCCTTCAACTGACTAGATGTAGTACACTTGCATTAGGGGAGGGCAATTAACTTCACTCAGTCTACTGATTTAAATGTTAACCTCATCCATCTCCCCCCACGAAAGAAAAACCCTTACAGACACGCTCTATAATGTTTGGCCAGATATCCGGGCACTCCATAGCCCAGTCAAGTTGACATATAAAATTAATAATCACAAAGCAGACGATATTTTTAAGAGGAAAATACTGATCAATGGTGCCCAGCACATAATTTTATAACTAAAGTTGGGTTGGAGGATAGGGGTCTGTTTACAAGGAAGCATCTCCACCAGAGATCCTGAAACAAAAAACAAAGAAACCTACAGTTTTGATGCTGAGGACAGTAGCAGACTAGGCCATGGGCAGTTGGCAGGGCTCAGAAAAAGGGCTTCATGGGCTGTGACGGATCAGCAGCTCTGGCCACATGCCTATCCCCAAAGTTTGCTTGATGTAGATGATTTAAAAAGAAAATATGGGAGTATCAACTAAGTGGGCACTGTCTCACCGCATCCTGTGTTTGTCTTACTACCTAGTAAAGCTCTTTTCAGACACTGAAATATGCTTAAGTCCTGCCAGCAGGGGCTGGATGAAAGGGTCACACTGGAATATAGTTGGGAGAACTTTGGGAATCTCACTGGAGCCCTGCACATAAAGCACTACTCACCCCAGCTTCCACCCTCTCCACCACACTGCCTCTGTGCAGGGTTCCAAACAAGGGAAAAATGAGGATGGCCAAATGAAAACATGGCTTGGTGCCCAAGCTGACTTGATGGGGTGGGATGAGCGTGTGGATCCCCTTCACCTCTGTCTTTTCTTTCCTTCTTGGAAAGATTTTAATCATAATAATGTACCCCCCAAGATATGCAATGGGTGGACCAGCAATATTAGAAGAAATCTTGCTTGTCTCTATTACAATGACTCTGAAAGAGCCAGGACTCCTCAGAAAATTTTGAGGAGATCTATAAGCTCTCACAGGAAGAAGCTAAAATAGGGAGACATGGGGAGTAGAGAGTTATGACCCCTAGGCTCACTGACCATTTCTTCAGGATTCTTTCACAATTCCCTTTGAAGATACAGCTCTGGCCAGATGTGGGCACTCCTATGTTCCTGGGGCTGTGGTCAAAGAAGGCAGAGAGTCAGAGACAGGAAGCAAGAGGCAAAGCTCAACCTTGTAAAGAACTTCTGGGCCTTCTTGGGGCCAACACCCACCAGGGCACAAGGTGATTTGGGGAAGAAAGTGCTGAGCACAGCTGTAAACATGCCTCACTCTTTCATCTCTCCCAACTCTTGGTGGTAAAGCAAGAAGGAAGCCAAACAAAAACTAGGGAAAAAGAGTTTTCCCTGTTTCTCTTTGCCAGAGATTAAGTAGTTTGAATAGGAGCCCCTGGAATTTTGGGAAAAATCCATCACAAGTTGTGATACTAATTTTTTTTTAAAAAGCTACCTCTTAAAGAATGAGCAAAGAAAACAAAATAACCAGATCTCAGTAGACTGAGTAATCCAGATAGATCTTTTGAGGAATTAGACAAACGTTACTCATGAAAAGTCTTCTCCAGGAACCAGAAGACAATTTTTAAGAAATCTCTAGATCACTCTCACAAAATTGTTCAAGAAGACATTATATCTGTGGAGAGGGAGAACTCCAAAATCAAAACATTGGGCTTAACTGTATAAAATTGCTGATGTTTGATCATTTTGACCAACAAAACTAGCAGTTTTCTATGGACCAAATAGATTTCCTGTCAATGAAGAACTGAAGAGTGAAGGGGCTTGGGTATGGATAGAAATAGATCTAACGGATATAATGAGAAGAATTAAGTAGATATGTCAAAAAAATAAAATGACTTAGTGGTTCAGTTTGAGAAGTTATGGCAGGATTTAGAGGTAAAGGATAAAGAGATTAAGATGATTAATAAACCTGTTTTAGAAATTCCCTTGCCATTTCATACCCACTAGGATGGCTACAATCAAAATGACAGATTACAATAAAGTCAGTGAGGATGTAGAAAATCTACAGCCCACATACACTGCTGATGGAAATGTAAAATGGCACAGCCAGTTTGGAAGATAGTCTGACAATTCCTTATAAGGTTAAATAAAGTTATGACCTAGTAATTCCATTCCAAGGGATATTAAAAAGAGAGAAAAACACGTCCACACAAAAATATAGTACATGAATGTTTATAGCAGCATTTTAAAAAGTAGCCAGAAAAGTGGAAATGATCCAAATGTCCCTCAACTGAAGAGTGAATGTGTTATATTCATACAATGGAATATTATTTGGCCATAAGAAGGAAGTACTAATATATACCACGATATGGATAAATCTTGAAAATATTATTCTAAGCAGAAGAAGACAGTCACAACAGATCACATGTTGTATGATTCTATGCACGAAATGTCTAGAATGGATAGATCTATAGAGAAAAAATACAATAGCCTCCCTTCATCCAGTTTTCCTGAGGTTTCAGCTACCCACAGATGACCATGGCCCAAAAATATTAAATGGAAAATCCCAGAAATAAATAATGCATAAGTTTTAAATTGTGTGCTGTTATGAGTAACGTGATAAAATCTCTCAGTCTGGATCCATCCTGCCTGGGACACAAATCTTCCCTTTGTCCAGCATATCCACACTGTCTACTCTACCCCACCGCTAGTCATTTAGCAGCCAGCTCAGTTATCAGATCAACTGTCATGGTATCACAGTACCACGTTCAACTAACCCTTATTTTACTTAATAATGGCTCCAAAAATGCAAGAGTAGTGATGCTGGCATATTGCTGTAATTGTTCTACTTTATTATTATTATTGTTAATCTTGTACTGTGCCTAATTTATGAATTAAACTTTATCATAGGAGAGGATGGAGAGGGAAATGTATATAAGGGTTGGTACTATACACTGTTTCAGGCACCCACTAGGGCTCTTGGAATATATCCCCTGCAGATACGGGGTTGCGGGGGGCACTACTGTGGTATATTAGTGGTTGTCTGTGGCTGGAGGGAGGAGGGTGTGGAACACAGAGTGATTGCTCATGGGCATGGTGTTTTGTGAGGGGGGCTGAAATTATACTAAAATTGACCATGATGATGGTTGCACTACTCTGAAGGAGTGGGAGAGGGAAAGGAAAGTGCTGTTCTGTGGAAAAGGACAGAAGGAGGGGGAGAAAAAGGGAACAGAAACGTGGCGGTCAGCTGTTGGGACAGGAGCACTGCGGACAGCTCCTAGGCAACCTGCCACCCACGCTGCATCATGGTTTTAAGCACCAGCATGGGCTCACACTCCGGGCATTACTCGTAGCTGCAGGAGGCACCCTGAAACCAGCCTACAAGGTGGCACAGCTGAGATCTGGCTGTGGTGACAGTGGCCACAGGAGCTAGGTCCCTGACCTGCTCTGCTGAGAGTGCCCAGGCCATGAAGCCAGAGCTTTCATGCCCCAGGAAGGAGCCATGTCAAGGTGGCGCTGATGGAGGAGCCAGCAACAGAAGCAATACAGGAACTTAACAGGAAAACTAAAATCTACAGACCCTTTGAAAGAAGTGACAGGCTGCAGCCTACACTGTGAGGCAGGTGAAAAACAAAACAAAACTCCACTCATCTCCAGGTAGATTAACACTGCACCCGGGAAGGAGAAAACTTGTGTGTGACCTCAGCTATCATCATTGCCTGTACCACCCTGGCTAGTCAGGAGGCTTTGAGTCTGCCATGTGACCAGTTCATTACTACTACAACCAGCATTTGAGAGAGCCAACATACTAAGGCTATCCATAACCAAGGAATCTCAGAGTTTATGTCTCCCCGCTCCCACCCCCATCAGAGCTGTAGCTGTGCTGGTACCCACTGCTGGGCAACTTGAGGACAGGTCACATATCTGGATCCCTTGCAGACATTTCCTTGCACCATCCTGGTGTATGGCAGCCCCACTGGGCAGCTAGACCCAGAGGAGCAGCAGCATTTACAGCAGTCTGGCTCTCAAGGACTTCTACTCCTGGGGAAGGGGAAGTGTACCACATGAAGGGAATGCCTCATGGGACCAAAGAACTCAGACAGCAGGTCTTGAGTCCCAGATCTTTCTCCTAGTGGGAAGTTTCTTTCAGCTGAGGCACAGTTGCAGTGCTGGGCACAACAGGGCAAGTCTGTAGCTCTACCCAACAGTCAGGCAGTCCTGGTTCTCATGAAGGGTCTTGGAGAAGGGGACTTCTTTGCCCCCTCATCCACTACTAAAGACACAGCTGGGGTTTTTCCCACAGGAGCTTAGCAGGGGTGTACCTATAGACAGCCTCTTTGGACACTTCAGGGTAACTGCATCCCCACAGAAGAATGCCTTTCAGGTGCAGGCTTGCTGAGAGGTAGAGTCACAGTTCCTCTCTACTTGGAATATGAACATTCCTGCAGATTAAAAGAGGTGCCTATGTGATCTGAATAGCCAGAATACTGGGTCAGGAGTTGTCTGGGAAGTGGATACCTTTCTTGCTGTCCTGGCAGGAGAGCTGAGGTGGCTCCAGTCCTTTCCTCCGATAAGACCTCAATGCATTTTACTAAGAGCGCCCCCAGCCACCTCTGTCAAGGACCCACCATTGGGTACTGCATTTACACAGCTGCTTTAGCCAGAGCCACTTTTTACCCATGAACACCTCCCTTATTGGCCTGAAGCCTGAACTATTCAACCCAGTAAATAAAATACTGAGGAAAAAATATTTCTTTTTAAAAGTATACACCATGGGGGAATGAGATAAGCTTTAAGAGATCTCTGCCATTCCAACACTATAGGAGACAGTGAACTTGCTTGTACACTGAGTGCATTGGTACTACAACCAGCATCTGACAAAGCCATCATCCAAAGACTCTCTACCACCAAGGAACTCATAAAGAATCTTTGCCCCTGAAAGCACCAAGAGCCAAATTAGGCTACAATAAACTATAAACATTAGGGCCACATCCTTAATGGAGGAAAAAAAAAGGCATTAAAACAAGCCACACAGTCAAATAAAAAATAAATTCAAGAATAATTAGAAGGAATAAATAGGAAGAAAGCAGAAAAATAATTCTGGTAATATGACAAAACAGGGTTCTATAACATCCCCAAATATCACACTAACCCTCCAGCAATGGATTCAAACCCAAGATGAAATGTTTGGAATACCAGATAAAGAATTCAAAAAGCTTATTATTAAGTTACTCAAGTAGATACAAGAGAAAGTTGAAAACCAATAAAAAGAAATTTATAAAACAAGTCAGGATATGAATGAAAAATTATCTAAAGAGATATCTTAAAGAAAAACCAATCAGAACTTCTGGAAATGAAAGATACACTTTAGAGGAATTACAAAATGCAGCGTAAAGTTTCAACAATAGACTAGAACAAGTAGAAGAAAGAATTTCAGAGCTCAAAGAGCAGGCTTTAGAATTAACCCAACTGGACAAAAATAAAGAAAAAAGAATAAAAAGAAATGAACAAATTGCCCAGGAAATAGGGGGTTATGTAAAATGGCCAAAGCTAGGAAAAATTGTTGTTCCTGAGGAAGAAGACAAAGCAAAAAGTTCGGAAAACTTATCTGGGGGAATAATTAAAGACAAATTCTGGGACCTTGCTAGAGATTTAGATATCTAAATACAAGAAGCTCAAATAACTCATGACAGATTCATTGCAAAAAGGTAATCACCAAGGCATATAGTCATTGGCTATCTAAACTCAAAATGAAAGAAAGAATTCAAAGAGCTGTGAGACAAAAGCATCGGGTAACCTATAAAGGAAAATGTATCAGACTAATAGGAGACTTCTCAGCAGAAACCTTACAAGCCAGAGGGGATTGGGGTCTTATCTTTAGCCTCCTTAAACAGAATAATTGTCAGCCAAGAATTTTGTATCCAGCAAAACAAAATTTCACAAATGAAGGAGAAATAAAGTCAGACAAACAAATGCTGAGAGAATGTTACCACCAGACAAGCCCTACAAGAAATACTAAAAAAAACTTCTAAATCTTGAAACAAAAAGCTCAATGTGCATCAAAATAGAACTTCTTGAAAGCATAAAACTCCCAGGGCCTATAAAATAACAAAATGAAAAAAAGTATCTAGGTAAGAATTAATATGATGAATGAAACAGTGCCTCACATCTCAATATTAATGTTGAATATAAATGGCCTAAGTGTTCCATTTAAACGATACAGATTGACAGAACAGATTAAAAAAAAAAAAATGAATTACAAACCAAGTATCTTCTGTCTTCAAGAGACTCATCTAATACATAAAGATTCATAAACACTCAAGGTAAAGGGGTGGAAAAATACATTCCAGGCAAATTGAAACCAAAAGTGAGCAGGAATAGCTATTCTTATATCAGATAAAAGAGACTTTAAAGCAACAGCAGTATCATATAAGATTCCTATAATTCTGATATGTCTCAGTATATGTCATGAGTAATAATTATAATTATTATGTTAAATTATTAGGTATCACAGAGATGGCCAAATTTCCTTGTTAATTGCACCTTTATGGCTTTCCTGAGTCTTTTGTCATCCATGGATAATTTCTGTCTTGTTTTGATCCTTTTCAAAACGCAGTTTATAATCAGATATAGGACTCTGACAGATACTCTTGAATGCAGATCTCTGATAACATTAGAAATTGTGCCATTGGAATAGAGGGGAAAAAACTTCTAAGTACTCTTGTGGAGAGCTGATGTCTTAAACATTGCTAAACATTGCTAACCCTTTTGTTTTTCAGAGTCAAAAAATTTCTTTTGAGCTATTTACAACTTTGAGCAATTAAGTAAAATGTATATTCCTAGGAGCAAAATTTGGAGCATATTGCTTTCTACCTGATTTCTCCAAAATTTAAAAACTATTTGTAAGTATTCACAACTTATGGCAGTGTAGTTATTTGCATAAGTAAAATAAGAATCTGTTTTATTTTGTAACAGGACACAATTGGATAAACTAGTTATTTTACCAAGGCTTTGACTGGAATGACAGGCTTTAAGTAATCAATGTTGACTTATAGAGCCAGTAAAAGTCCGTTAGGAAATCTGGCCTCATAGCTTATCTATACAGTCACTGTACAGGGTTCCTGATCTGTGGTAAGTAAAGAGTGTCACTTTTTGACAGGCCCAGGAGCCCCAAGTTATCTTGAGACCTCAAGGTGAGGAATTCATCAAATTAATACAGGTATTTGCAGCCAGGTATGGGTTGGGGTCAAGGCTTTCAATTCGGGATTCCTTATAGAATAAATTATCAGCAAAGGCAATTTTTAAAAGAAGTCTATATGGCAAATAATTATTCATGCCGACTTTTTGCAAATTTTTTCTTGCAAGTTAGACCAAATCCTAAATTCTTTATTGGCTACAAATCCCCACACTAATGATTTCAAATCTTTATTTTTTAAACCGGGAATTGTACTGCTTATCCTAGAACTCATTATTTACCTTATAGTACACTGACAACTTAAATGCTGTACTAAAACTATAGATGAGAATACTAACACCTTTGTCAGGAAAGCCTTGGAACCCTAGCCTGACCTTCAGGAGTATTCTCAGACAGCTCAGACAGCTGCAAAATGGTTCCACTCCTCTCATCTTGGGGTCAACACCTACCCCCACTAAGCCCCCTTGTCATCAGGAAGAAGTCAGAGCAGTTGTCATCCTCTTTCCATCTTCATTAGCTCACACTTGAAGATTAAGGTGTTATAAAACCCAAAGGGAGTAACTGAAACTGCCATTGCAAAATTATAACTGAGACAGTAAAAGAGATCTAACCTAACCAACTCCATCTTCCTCCTGAACTCCAAGCTGTCTTTGTTCGTTCCGGGGCATAGGCCAAACTTACTTTGAGAGGAACTTAGTTTATAGTTTGAAACAAAGACAGCCCTTTCCCAAAACAAACCCTCCTTTTGCCTGGGGACTAGACTGACTTTGTAGGATTAACAAATTATCCAAATGATTAGGAATTATGGTTTAGGAGTCTTGCAGCTGGAGGCTGCAAGATACTAAACCTCCCCAAATTGCTCCTGGAGATAATATCACAATTGTAAAACCTAAGATCAGTTCTTCAGATACTTGATGGATCTTAAGTACTCAATGGATCAGCTGGCACCACTCAGATTGGTAAACTGGCTCATAAGGTCTTGTGGCCCCTGATCAGGAAGTGACTCAGCACAAGAGGACAGCTTCATCTCCCTGTGATTTCATCTCTGACCTGACCAATCAGAATTCCCAACTTACTGGCCCCCCACCCACCAAATTATTCTTAAAAACTTCGATCCCCAAATTCTTGGGGAGACTGATTTGAGTAATAATAAAACTTCAGACTTTGGAAAAAAAAAGACAAAGAAGGTCATTATATAATAAAAATATCAATCCCATAAGAAGTTATTATAATCCTAAATTTATATGCTCCTAGCCACTGGAGCTCCCAGATTCATAAAACAATTACTACTAGACCTAATAGATAGACAGAAACACAGTAATAGTGAGGGACTTCAATACTCCACTGACAGCACTATGCAGATCACCAAGATAGAAAGTTAAAGAAACAATGGACTTAAACTACACTCTAGAACAAAGGAACCTAACAGATATTTAAAGAACATTCTACCTAAGAACTGCAGAAAATATATTCTTCTCATTAGCCCATGGGACATTTGCCAAGATAGGACGCAAAATAAGTGTTCAATAAACTTTTTTTAAAAAAATCAAAATCGTATCAAGTATCCTCTGACATCAGTGGAATAAAACTAAAAATCAACTCCAAAAGGAACCCCCAAAACTATACAAATACATGGAAATTAAACAATTTGCTCCTGGATGATTTTTGACTTAATAATGAAATCAAGATGGAAATTAAAAACTCTTTACAGTGAATGTTCAATGACAACTTATCAAAATATCTGGGATACAGAAAAAGCAGTGCTAAGAAATTTTATAGTGCTAAATGCCTACATCAAAAAGTCTGAAAGATTACAAATTGACAACCTGATGTTACACCTCAAGGAACTAGAGAAACAAGAACTAAACCCAAAGCTAGCAGAAGAAAATAAATAACAAAGATCAAAGCAGAACTAAATAAAATTGAAACAAAAATAATATAAAAGATCAATGAAACAAAAAGCTGGTTCTTTGAAAAGATAAAACTGATAGAACATTAGCTAGATTAACCAAGAAAAGAAGAGAGGAGATCCAAATTAGCTCAATTAGAAATGAAACTGGACACATTACAACTGACACCACAGAAATACAAAAGATCATTTGAGACTACTATAAATATCTGTAGGTACACAAACTAGAAAACCTAGAGGAAATGGATGAATTCCTGGAAACATACAACCCTCCTAGATTAAATCAGGAAGAAATAGAAACCCTGAAGAGACCAATAACAAGCAGAGAGATTGAATCAGTAAAAAAAAAAAAATAAAAAAATAAAAAGAAAAAAAATGCTAGCAGAAAAAAAGCCCAGGGCCAGATGGATTTACAGCTGAATTCTCCCAGACATTCAAGGAAGAATTGGTATCAATCCTACTGAAACTGTTCCAAAAGATTGAGAAAAAAGAAACCCTCCCTAAATTATTCTGTGAAGCCAGTATCACCTTGATACCAAAACCAGGAAAGGACATAACAAAAAAGAAACTACAATCAATATCCCTGATGAACATGGGTGCAAAAATTCTCAACCAAATACTAGCTAACTGAATCCCACAGCACATCAAAAAGATAATACACCATGATCAAGTTGGTTTCATCCCAGGGATGCAGGGATGATTTAACATATGCAAGTCAATAAATGCGATACGTCACATGAAGAGAATTAAAAACAAAAAATATATGATCATCTCAAAAGATGCAGAAAAAGCACTCAACAAAATCCGTCATCCCTTTGTCATAAAAACCCCTAACAAACTAGGTAAAGAAAGGACTCACCTCAATTAATAAAAGCCACTATGACAAACCCACAGTCAACATCATATTGAATGAGGAAAAGTTCAAAGCATTCCCCCCTGAAACTGGAACAAGACAAGGATGCCCACTCTCACCACTTCTATTCAACATAGTACTAGAGGTACTAGCCAGAGCAATCAGGCAAGAGAAAGAAATAAAAGTCATCCAAAGAGGAAGTCAAAACTATCACAGTTTTCTGTTAATATGATCATATACCTAGAAAACTTTAAAAACTCCTAGATTTAATAAACAAATTAAATCAAGTGTCAGGTTACAAAATCAATGTGCACAAATCAGTAGCCCTGCTAAATGCCAACAACAACCAAGCTGAGAATCAAACCAGGAACTCAATCCCATTTACAACAGCTTCAAAAATAAAATAAAATACCTAGGAACACACTTAAACAAGGAGGTGAAACATCTCTATAAGAAGAACTGCAAAACACTGCTGAAAGAAATCATAGATGACATAAACAACTGGAAACACATCCCATGCTCATGGATTGGAATCAACATTGTGAAAATGACCACACTAACCAAAGCAATCTATAGATTTGATGCAGTTCCCATCAAAATACCAATATCATTTTTCAGAATTAGAAAAAAAATCCTAAAATTCATATAAAGACCAAAGAAGAGTCCAAATAGCCAAAGCAACCATAAGCAAAAAGAATAAATATGTAGGCACCACATTACCAGACTTCAAGTTACACTACAAGGCTATAGTTACCAAAACAGTGTGGTACTGGTATAAAAGTAGGCACATAGACCAATGGAACAGAATAGAGAACCCAGAAATAAAGCCAAATACATACACCCAACTGATCTTCAACAACACATACAGAAATATCAACTGGGAAAAGGACACCCTATTTAATGAATGGTGCTGAGAAAATTGGCTAGCCACAGGTAGAAGAATGGAACTGGATCCCTCTCTCTCACTTTATATAAAAATCAACTTAAGATAGATCAAAGACTTAAGTATAAGACCTGAAACCATAAACATTTTGGAAGATAATCTTGAAAAAAAACTCTTCTGGAGATTGGTCTAGGGAAAAAATTCATGGCTAAGACCCCAAAGACAAATGCAACAAGAATAAATGGGACCCGATGAAACTAAAATGCTTCAGCACAGCAAGAGAAATAATCATCAGCACAGACAATTCACAGAATAGGAGAAAATATTTGCAAACTACGCATCTGACAAAAACCAGTATCCAGAATCTACAAGGAACTCAAATCAGCATGAAAAAAAAGATCCCGTCAAAAAGTGAGCAAATGATATGAACAGACATTTCTCAAAAGAAGATCTACAAATGGCCAAACATATTTGGAAAATGCTCAACATTGCCATCACCAGGGAAATGCAAATTAAAACCACAATGTGATACCACCTTACTTCTGTAAGAATGGCCATTATTAAAACGTCAAAAAACAATGGCTGTTGGCGTAGATATGGTGAAAGGGGAATGCTTATACACTGCTGGTAGGAATGCAAATTAATAGAACTCTATGGAAAACAGTATGGAAATCCCTTGAAGAGCTAGAAGTAGACCTATCATTTGATCCAGCAATCCCACTACTGGGTATCTACCCAGTGGAGAAGGAGTCATCATATGAAAAAGACACACATGTATGTTTATTGCAGCACAATTCACAATTGCAAAGATATGAAACCAACCTAAGTGCTCAATGACCAATGAGTAAGAAGGATAAAGAAAATGTGGTATATATACACCATGGAACACTACTCAGCTATATAAAGAAATGAAATAATGTCATTTGCAGCAGCTTGGATGAAGCTGGAGGCCATTATTCTAAGTGAAGTCACTCAGGAATGGAAAACCAAATTCTGTATGTTTTCACTTATAGGTGGGAGCTAAGCTATGAGTACGCAAAGGTGTACAAAATGGTAAAATGGACTTTGGAAATGTAGAAGGGAAAAGATGGGATAAAAGAAACAACTGCATATTGGGTATGATGTGTATTACTTGGGTGCAATAAAATCTCAGAATTCTCCACTATATAATTCTTCCATGTAAACAAAAACCACATGTATCCCAAAAGTTGGTGAAATAAAATATTAAAAAGTAAGTAAAAAATAAAACCATTGAATTGCACACTTTAATAGATTGTTGGTGTGCGATTTTTATCTCAATGAAACATCTTTAAAGTTACCTTGAATTACAAGATTTCATTGTTTTTATGGCTGAATAGTATTCCATTGTGTATATATACATTTTCTTTATTCACTTAGCACTGTAGGATGCCTATAGTTAACATAGTAATATATGACATACATTCAAGTAGCTAGAGGAAACATATTGAATGTTCCCAACACAAAGAAAGAATGTTTGAGATGACTGATATGCTAATTACTCTGATCTATGTACCCTAAAAATATGTACAATTATAATCAATTTAAAAATAAAATAACATATAGGCCGGGCACGATGGCTCGCGCATCTAATCCCAGCAATTTGGGAGGCAGAGGCGGGTGGATCACCCGGTCAGGAATTCAAAACCAGCCTGCCCAACATCGTGAAACCCTGTCTCTACTAAAAATACAAAAATTAGCCAGGCATAGTGGCGCGTGCCTGTAATTCCAGCTACTCAGGAGTCTGAGGCAGGAGACTTGCTTGAACCTGGGAGGCGGACGTTTTGGTGAGCCGAGATTGCGCCACTGTACTCCAGCCTGGACGATGCAATGAGACTCTGTCTCAAAAAATAATCAAATATTTTAAAAGTTGCCATGGCCAAATAACATCTCTAGCTTTAAGGTTCCGTCAATTTCCCAAACCGTTAATGAAACAGAAAAACATACTCTGAATTACTACTATGTCAAGCAAAAAGCAAATATCTTACAAATCCAGTAAGTCCAGATTATCTAGAAAGAAGAATTAGATTGGCCTCAGTTCTCTCTCTTTCTTAATTCTAAACACCAGAAGAAAATGCTATACAAGCCTTGTTTCCAGGGTTTCAGGCTATTATGCACATGGGAGAACAGCAGAAAATATTCTACGCAAGCAGATACTTAACGCATTCACCCAAACACTCCTGCCTGAAGCAATAACTGATAAATTCTCCTACCTACCAAATAAGGGACTTAAAAAACTAAAGATCCTAAAGAATGAAGAGATATCATATACACACAGTCCAAGTTAGGATAGTTCAAGTTAACTGTTTTTTTTTTTTGACTTTACAATGGTATGAAAGTGATACACATTCAGTAGAAACCATGCTTCAAGTACTAAATTATACATACATAATTATATAACCATACTGTTTTTTACTGCCAGTATAGTATTCAATCAATTATGTGAGATCCTCAACACTTTATCATAAAATAGGCTTTGTCTTAGATGATTTTGCCCAAATGTAGGCTAACGTCATCATTCTGAGCACGTTTGAGGTAGGCTAGGCTAAGCTATGATGTTCAGTAGGATAGATGTATTAAATGCACTTCTACCTATGATATCTTTGATTTACAGTGGATTTCTTGGGACAGAGCCCCATCGTAAATTGAGGAATGTCTGTATAAGAACAGGCATAGACCATTGTAGAGTGGATGTGAACCTGTAAAGAAACACCGGGCTGCATGAAGCCAAGCAGTGGTCAAGGGAGTTTTAGTGACAGTGGAAAATTTGTTTATGCCCCACTAAATTTCCTGGTAGCTATCTATTACTGAGTGCCCATTGTGGGCAAGGTACCTAATTAAAAATATTGCTTTTATTATCATGTTTAATCCTCTCAATGACCCTATTAAGAAAGCATTGTTACTTCCATATTGCTGAGGAGGAAACCAAGGCGTAGAGCAGGGTTGTAAATATTAAAATTATTCAACCTTTAAATATTAAAATTATTCAGCGCTTTTGACATTTGAGGCCAGATAATTCTTTATGATGGGGCTGTGCATTGTAGGATGTTTAGCAGCATCCGTGGCACTAGATTCCAGTAGTGTCTCCAGACGTTGCCAACTGTCCCCTGGGTGGCAAAGTTGACCCCAGTTATGAACCACTGCCTTAGAGTGATTAAACGTTTACCCAGTTCAAAGCCAGACCTGTCTGATTGCAAATATTGCTATGGGGTAAAGAACTAGTCACATATTTATAGAAAAACCATTCTAGAATTCTGGAAGCCCGAGTTCTTATCTTCGTGCCCCCACTAGTAGCTTTCTAACCCTGCCTAATGATGCCACATCCAGCCTCTGACGCCCTTGTCTGCAGTAACCCATGTGGCAGTCAGGTCTAGGGAACTCCAAACTGTTGAGGTTGATGCTCTGAGGTGTCCAGAGCTGAGCCATGCTGAGGAGAACAAAGCTCCTTTGAACTCACACTATTTCAGCCACATCAAACAGGATTTCTCTGAACTCTTGAAGTGCTCTTAATATGATTTCAGTCTCCTAAGAAAAGATCCAGTTCCCTTTCCTTAATTAGGCAGGCTGGCCAGTTAAAATGATAGATTTTCTTGTGAGTAATATTGTGACTTGGCATTGCTCTTAGTCCTTACACAGAGCCCAGGAAAAATTAAAAACCAAGAAAGACACAATTATCGATGGAGAGGCTACCAGGGTCCCTTGTCCAGGTCACTTCATGCACCAGGAAGGTTGGATAATTTTACTATTTAGCCTATGCCAAAGAAAACTGGGGATGATAAATCTGCTGTCTCTGAATATCTTATAATGCTTTCTAACAAAAAAGCCCTTTTAATTCAGAGTAATTATAAAAGAGTTTCCTTAGAATTAGAGATCACGTTTCAAGAAATGTAGCTTTATGCTTTCTGGAGTATAACAATAACTTCTACCAACAGCTCCAAAGAGCTCCAAAGTGGTTCCCAAGGGAGATTCAACTGGAATAGCTTTAACGAACTTAGGACTATTTGAAATAGCATGTTAGAAACTTTCATGTAGACTATAAAATTTTAGATCTACTCTATTTGAATGATCAGAAATTCCACATTTTGAAATCTGACTTGTTTTAATTTCAAACATTTTTCTCTGTATTATGTCAAACCCTTATTACATGGATAGACCTTCTCTTTATTACAGTAGGTAATTGAAAGTTAAATATATGCATTTTCAGACAGCATGATGAATATGTGCATTCGATTCCAGTTTATCCTATAGGAGTTCTTCTTTAGCCATGAACCTTCCACCGAAATAAAATTATTTCTCCACTGGCAAAAGAGAAATACAATTAAGCCACATTACAAAACACTCAATTTAACCTCTCAGATCTAAGGTGATACAAAGGAACTAAAGAACTAAGGTTAAATTTGTGAGAACTATGGTAAAATTAGGATTTCAACCATCTCTCTATTATAGGTGAAAGAAAGTACAAAATCAAGCACAGTTGGATCTTGTTAGGTGATGCATAATTCCCAAACTTCCTGGTTTGAAGATCTCTTCAGCAGAGAAAGATTATGTGATACATTCATCAAAATATCTAGATCGGTGCCACCAAACCATTCATTCCTCCATTTAATAATTATTTTTTGAACACTTACTGTATGTCAGACACAGGGCTTGGCTCTGAAGCAGGGTATATCCAGTTGCTTGACTGCTGGTCAAATTAGTGGTTTTATTAAACCACACATGGCTTAGCAATGAGACCTGTTTCTTTCCCTCTTATGACTAGATATTATTCAGGAGAAATTTCTAAAACTTAAATATTAAGTGGCTCTGGGGGGAAGGATCACTATATTTCTGTTACTCAGATGCTCTCAGGGGTGTGATGTGCACACAGTCCACATGGGGGCTATTCACATTCATTGTTCTCTAGCCTTGGTCCAGATACTGGCCCCATGATCTCAGAGGGTGGTGGGAACCCACCTTCCACCAACCCCTTAGTCCTGAGCACAGGCTAGATTCTATAACATAATTTAGCAGAATAGGGAAAATGGCATTGCTTTTATGAGATGCCCCTGAAGAAATTCCAATAGTTTATCATTAGTAAAATTGTATCTTACGTATCACATGTATGTTCAGGTCAAGAGACCTGCCCACAGGACTCCCAGAGAGTCTTTACGAGTCACAACTAATCTCAAACTCTACTTAAATACCATGATATGGATTCATCTTCTGATGGCCATGCAAAAGAATCTTTTCATGTTGATTTTGTGGTTTCTATAAATTTCACATGTAAACTATTGAATCTGAAGCTAAAAGCTGTCAACTCTGATGGGTCATTTCACTGCCCGTTTGATTCTTGTTCCTGTGCCTAACTCCCCACCACGTTCCCAGCTGCTCCCACTCCCGGGCTGGCAACTATTGCTGGAGTCATCAAGACAAATGATCCCATCACAACCCAGGCTTTAGTCAGTTAGTTTATTCATTCAACCAAAATGCATTAAGAGTTCTGATGTGCTATTCCTGTGCTAGGTGCAGGAGATGCAAAGATGACTGAAACAATTTCCTATTTCTCCATGAGCTTACCATCTATTCGGGGACATAGATGAGTAGAAGATAAATAGAGTAGAACGTACTAAATGCATACAAGGGGTAAAGAAACAGAAATGGGATGCCTAACCCATCCTTGAGTGGTCACAGAAGACTTCTGACAAAGTCTATGCTGGATCTAAATTAGCAAGTAAACAGCCAAGGAGGGCAGCGGGGAGTGAGGATATAACTTGTGTCAAGTCCTGGGAGTTTGGGGAGGAGGCAGGAGCTTGAGTCCATGGGTAGAGCACAGAGAGTGAGATGTAGAATGTCAAGAGATAAAGCAGAAGCAGATCCTGCAGGGCCTTGTATGGAAACTTAGAGAACAACAAGGAGCAATGAGAGGATTTCACTTGGGTGACTGATGTGATCAATGTTCATTTTACTAAGAGTTGCAATGTCACCCAAATATTGATACATGGTCAAGCACTGCCGGTTGCCTCCTCAATATCCCCTTTCCTCTTCTTTATCAATAGAACCTCTATTTATTGGGAACAGCAATATTTCCAATTAAACTATTTTTCTTGGCTTCCATTGCAAATAGGGGGCTCCGTGAGCTGCAAGTAGAATTTGTGGGGATAAGGCTCCTGGAAAAACCTCTTAGAGGGGGACTGATGGCAAGGCATACTCTGCCCCTGTTCTCTTCCTCCTTGCTGTGAATGGGATGGCCTTAGCAACAGTGCCCATTTTGCTATCGTGAGGCAGCCTTGAGGATGGAAGCCACATGCTTAGAATGGCAAAGCGGAAACACAGTCCTCTTGTCCATGGAGATGGCGTACCAGCCCTAGGAGTCTCTTTAGCTTCAGACCTCCTCTACTGGAGGAAAAAAATATATGTATCTTTATTTTACGTTGCTGTGATTTGTACTTACTTTTATAGGCAGCAGAAAATTAATCATAACCAATAAGGAAAAGCACAGCTAGAAGAGATGCATCCACAGGTTTCTGCAAGATGACAGGTGGTAGCCTCAACTCAGCAGTAAATGGGGTACAGAAGAGTGGATAGATGTGAGAAATATTAATGAAGTATGATGAACAAGACTGGTGATTGATTGGAGGCAGGTGATGAGAGGGAATCTGAGTTCCGACTTTCTGGTTTTAGACAATGGAGGTAATAAATCATCATCTGTTTACAATAAACTCTCAAGATGTTTGCTATTGAAACGTAGACAGTCTGAAAAATCCCTCAAATCTTCACTCAGCTTTCAACCATGCCCTCTCAACAAAACATGTAATAAACTCCATAAGACTTCAAGCAAACTTTTAAATCAGACTTATCAAATCACATCCCCAAACACTTTGAAGTATAAAAGACTTTAACTTCAAGGGAAATTTATGTTAGCTATTTTCCTTAAAAATTGAATGTGCTATGAAAATTTCATGGTGGAATTCCTTTCTAGAACTCTTAGTCCCTTTAAAAGTAAGACTTAGGTTAACTGGAAAAAGGAGAGAAATGAAGACTTTAGCAGTTTAATTCTTATCCCCCTTGTCAAGGGGCAAGCTATCTATCCTTTAATAGCTAAGACATCTTCACCTACATAAATCTGTAGATTATTATATCATTTATAGTTGTCCAGGAAAGAATTTACATTTAGAAAATACAGAGAAATGGTATGATTTTTAGAGGTTTCCTCTATTCCTAAAGTGTTCCCAACATTGTATAGCTAAAATTTTACACATCTTTTTCGGTCCAACTCAATGTTATCTCTCTCCTGAAGCCTGTTGCAACCACTAAACTGGAAGCAGCTCTTTTTTCTCTCAACTTGCATGCTTTTTAGACTATTGGATACCAATAGCTGATTTAACTGTGCCAGGGTAATCAGTTAGGAATATTACGCATGCTATATCCATAAAACCAATTATCTTACTCCTAAGGAAGGACTCTAGGGTTTTTCTTCCATTTTCACAAAGCAGAAAATTTGGTTTTTACATTGCAGCAACCCTTCATTGTTGTGTGGGGCACTAAATACATCGAAACTTACTTATGACACACTTTGCTTTCAATGTCACGTTTCAGCTATCATATCCATTCTAGTCATTTCATTTTTGCAGTCTTGTAGGAAATTGAAAGATGTTAAAGAACAAGGTATTTAGTCATTTTATTGCCTGAACTGGAAAGATGGGAGAAGGACAGAAGATACAGCGGGGAAACTTTGCTTGAGTTATCCCTTCAAAAAATCTGAAAAATGGGAGGAATTTATGACCGTTCTTAGCACTACTCAAGGTACTGGAAAGTCATTTTGTACTTGAACAAGTATTTCTTGAGCACTCTTTCTGTTACGTGCCAGAGGAGCCGTGGCAGTGGTGTGCTGGACCAGCCCTTTCAGCTGGCAAGGGTCCACTCTTAAAATTCCAGGGAATTTTTTTGAGCCAATTGTTAGGGCATTGGTAGCTTGAAATTGGCCACAATTGGAGTATTTGCGTGGCAGAAGTTGGCAAACAGTACAGATCAGGGCTTTTTACTTTAAGGGAGCCGGTTTACCAGCATCCACTGGTAATACAGTCATGAGCAAGATGCATTTTAAGTCCCTAGGTATTTGCTTCCTAGATGGGAAATAAGACAAGTGCAGCAACAGTCAGAACACAGGCGGCATTTACTGGGCTCTAATCCATAGGTTGTTAGGATATGTGAGGCTCAGTCCACAGCAACACTGCACTCAAATATAGTCACAAAAGAATTATAATCGTGTGACATATAATACAAATCCAAGAGTATCACATAACACAAATCTTAGAACATATATCTCTGACAATATGATCTGAAATTCTGATGGCAAATTAGGTAACAATTCTGCATCACGCACACACACACACGCACACACACACACTTTAAAATGAATACATTGGGAAGATAAATTCCACGAGGCAATGATTGAAAAGGAGGTTAAAAGGAAGTAGGGGCTAAGAAGGCAAGTGAACACAGGCATTGCCATGGAGTCCTCCGTGCGTGATTACTTGCTTAGTCTAGGTTCTAGGTACAGTGTTTTGTTTTGCTTTGTTTTGTTTTTTGTTTTTTTAAATAAAGCCACTCCTGAGCCATAAGCTAGCTTATATATAGTAGCCAAAGAATCCACATGTGTCCCAAAACCTCTCCCGGAGAATTCTACTTAACAAAGACCTGGTCCGTAAGTTACTACCAGTCTCTGGGAGAAACAAATACTCCCTAGACAAATGCAGCCTTATTCCTGGTTTGGAGAAATTAAAATGAATCTCAAAAAGTACAACTTCACAAATAATCACAAGACATAAATTATCCTAAGCAGAAAAAAGGCTGCAGTGACAGACCACATTAAGATAGATTTCATATAACAGAATTATCAGATATAATATATAAATAAGGATGTTAAACATGGTTAAAGAAGAATTAAGAGGTGAGTAAAAGTAAAGTCTATTAGAAGTTAACAAGCAGATTTGAAAAAATTTCTAAGAATAAAAATATAATTTAGTTTTAAAATCCCATGGAAAGGTTAAAGAACATAATAAAATTAAATGAAATTTGTGAACTAAAAGGTAGATCTGTACTTTTGGAGACTCTTTAATTATTAGACATTCCTTTCACGAGGAATTAAAGCACATAAACCCTTAAATTTTTGTGGGTACGTAATAGGCGTATGTATTTGTGGGGTACATGAGATACTTTGATACAGGCATGCAATATGAAATAATCACATTATGGTAAATGGGGTATCTATCCCCTCAAGCATTTATCCTTTACGTTACAGTCCTATTATATTTAAAATGTACAATTATTAACCATAGTCACCTTTTTGTGCAATCAAATACCAGGTCTTATTCATTCTAACTACTTTTTGTACCCATTAACCATCCCTAATTCCCCTTCACCCCCTGGTAACCATCATTCTACTATGTCCATGAGTTCAATTATTTTAATTTTTAGTTCCCACAAATAAGTGGGAACGTGTGAAGTTTGTCTCTCTGCCTGGCTTATTTCACTTAACACAATGATCCCCAGTTCAGTCCATATTTTTGCAAATGACAGGATCTCATTCTTTTTTATGGCTGAATAGCACTCTGTTGTGTATATGTACCACATTTTTCTTACCCATTCATCTGTTGATGGACAGTTAGGTTACTTCCAAATCTTAGCTATTGTGAACAACGCTACAAACAGATGTGGAAGTGTAGATATCTCTTAGATATACTGATTTCTTTTCTTCTGAGTATACACCCAGTGGAGGGGTTGCTGGATTGTATGGTAGCTCTACTTTTAGTTTTTTGAGGAATCTCCATCCAACCTGTTCTCCATAGTGGTTGTACTAATTTATATTTTGACTAACAGTGTACAAGGGTTCCCTTTTCTTCACATTCTCACCAGCATTTATTGCCTGTTTTTTTTTTGTTTGTTTTTTTTTTGTTTTTTTTTTTTTGGTTTTTTTTTTTGGTTTTTTGAGACGGAGTCTCGCTCTGTCGCCCAGGCCGGACTGCGGACTGCAGTGGCGCAATCTCGGCTCACTGCAAGCTCCGCCTCCCGGGTTCACGCCATTCTCCTGCCTCAGCCTCCCGAGTAGCTGGGACTACAGGCGCCCGCCACCGCGCCCGGCTAATTTTTTGTATTTTTAGTAGAGACGGGGTTTCACCTTGTTAGCCAGGATGGTCTCGATCTCCTGACCTCATGATCCACCCGCCTCGGCCTCCCAAAGTGCTGGGATTACAGGCGTGAGCCACCGCGCCCGGCCCTTATTGCCTGTTTTTAAAAAAAAAATAAAACAATTTTAACTGGGTGGAGATGGTATCTCATCGTAGTTTTTATGTGTATTTCTCTGATGATTGATGATGTTGAGCACCTTTTCATACGCCTGCTTGCCATCTGTATGTCTTTTGAAAAATGTCTATTCAGATCTTTTGCTCATTTTTGCCATCAGATTGGTAGTTTTTTTCCTATAGTTTGAGCTCCATACATATTTTGGTTATTGATCCCTTTTCAGATGGGCAGTTTGTGGATATTTTCTCCCATTCTGTGGGTTGTCTCTTCACTTTGTTGGTTGTATCCCTTGCTACACAGAAGCTTTTTAACTTGTTATGATCCTACTTGTTCACTTTTGCTTTGGTTATTACTTAAGAAATTTGTGCTTGTGACTTATTATTCGAGAAATTTTTGCCCAATGTCCTGGAGAACTTCCTGTATTTTCATGTAATAGTTTCGCAGTTTGAGGTCTCAGATTTAAGTCTTTAATCCGTTTCGATTTTTGGTTTATTTTATTATTATTATAATTCAAGTTTTAGGGTACATGTGCACATTGTGCAGGTTAGTTACATATGTATACATGTGCCATGCTGGTGTGCTGCACCCATTAACTCGTCATTTAGCATTAGGTATATCTCCTAATGCTATCCCTCCCCCTTCCCCCCACCCCACAACAGTCCCCAGAGTGTGATGTTCCCCTTCCTGTGTCCATGTGTTCTCATTGTTCAATTCCCACCTATGAGTGAGAACATGTGGTGTTTGGTTTTTTGTCCTTGTGATAGTTTACTGAGAATGATGATTTCCAATTTCATCCATGTCCCTACAAAGGACATGAAATCATCATTTTTTATGGCTGCATAGTACTCCATGGTGTATATGTGCCACATTTTCTTAATCCAGTCTATCATTGTTGGACATTTGGGTTGGTTCCAAGTCTTTGCTATTGTGAATAGTGCCACAATAAACATACGTGTGCATGTGTCTTTATAGCAGCATGATTTATAGTCCTTTGGGTATATACCCAGTAACGGGATGGCTGGGTCAAAAGGTATTTCTAGTTCTAGATCCCTGAGGAATTGCCACACAGACTTCCACAAGGGTTGAACTAGTTTACAGTCCCACCAACAGTGTAAAAGTGTTCCTATTTCTCCACATTCTCTCCAGCACCTGTTGTTTCCTGACTTTTTAATGATTGCCATTCTAACTCATGTGAGATGTTATCTCATTGTGGTTTTGATTTGCATTTCTCTGATGGCCAGTGATGGTGAGCATTTTTTCATGTGTTTTTTGGCTGCATAAATGTCTTCTTTTGAGAAGTGTCTGTTCATGTCCTTCGCCCACTTTTTGATGGGGTTGTTTTTTTCTTGTAAATTTGTTTGAGTTCATTGTAGATTCTGGATATTAGCCCTTTGAAATAAGAGCAGAACTGAAAGAAATAGAGACACAAAAAACCCTTCAAAAAATTAATGAATCCAGGAGCTGGTTTTTTGAAAGGATCAACAAAATTGATAGACCGCTAGCAAGACTAATAAAGAAAAAAAGAGAGAAGAATCAAATAGACGCAATAAAAAATGATGAAGGGGACATCACCACCGATCCCACAGAAATACAAACTACCATCAGAGAATACTACAAACACCTCTACGCAAATAAACTAGAAAATCTAGAAGAAATGGATAAATTCCTCGACACATACACCCTCCCAAGACTAAACCAGGAATAGGTTGAATCTCTGAATAGACCAATAACAGGCTCTGAAATTGTGGCAATAATCAATAGCTTACCAACCAAAAAGAGTCCAGGACCAGATGGATTCACAGCCGAATTCTACCAGAGGTACAAGGAGGAACTGGTACCATTCCTTCTGAAACTATTCCAATCAATAGAAAAAGAGGGAATCCTCCCTAACTCATTTTATGAGGCCAGCGTCATCCTGATACCAAAGCCAGGCAGAGACACAACCAAAAAAGAGAATTTTAGACCAATATCCTTGATGAACATTGATGCAAAAATTCTCAATAAAATACTGGCAAACCGAATCCAGCAGCACATCAAAAAGCTTATCCACCATGGTCAAGTGGGCTTCATCCCTGGGATGCAAGGCTGGTTCAATATACGCAAATCAATGAATGTAATCCAGCATATAAACAGAACCAGAGACAAAAACCACATGATTATCTCAATAGATGCAGAAAAGGCTTTTGACAAAATTTGACAACGCTTCATGCTAAAAACTCTCAATAAATTAGGTGTTCATGGGTCATATCTCAAAATAATAAGAGCTATCTATGACAGACCCACAGCCAATATCATACTGAATGGGCAAAAACTGGAAGCATTCCCTTTGAAAACTGGCACAAGACAGGGATGCCCTCTCTCACCATTCCTATTCAACATAGTGTTGGAAGTTCTGGCCAGGGCAATTAGGCAGGAGAAGGAAATAAAGGGTATTCAATTAGGAAAAGAGGAAGTCAAATTGTCCCTGTTTGCAGATGACATGAATTGTATATCTAGAAAATCCATTGTCTCAGCCCAAAATCTCCTTAAGCTGATAAGCAACTTCAGCAAAGTCTCAGGATACAAAATCAATGTACAAAAATCACAAGCATTCTTATACACCAATAACAGACAAACAGAGAGCCAAATCATGAGTGAAATCCCATTCACAACTGCTTCAAAGATAATAAAATATCTAGGAATCCAACTTACAAAAGACGTGAAGGACCTCTTCAAAGAGAACTACAAACCACTGCTCAATGAAATAAAAGAGGATACAAAGAAATGGAAGGCCATTCCATGCTCATGGGTAGGAAGAATCAATATCGTGAAAATGGCCATACTGCCCAAGGTAATTTATAGATTCAATGCCATCCCCATCAAGCTACCAATGACTTTCTTCACAGAATTGGAAAAAACTAAAGTTCAGATGGAACCAAAAAAGAGCCCGCATCACCAAGGCAATCCTAAGCCAAAAGAACAAAGCTGGAGGCATCACGCTGCCTAACTTCAAACTATACTACAAGGCTACAGTAACCAAAACAGCATGGTACTGGTACCAAAACAGAGATATAGATCAATGGAACAGAACAGAGCCCTCAGAAATAACGCTGCATATCTACAACTATCTGATCTTTGACAAACCTGAGAAAAACAAGCAATGGGGAAAGGATTCCCTATTTAATAAATGGTGCTGAGAAAACTGGCTAGCCATAAGTAGAAAGCTGAAACTGGATCCCTTCCTTACACCTTATACAAAAATTAATTCAAGATGGATTAAAGACTTAAACGTTAGACCTAAAACCATAAAAACCCTAGAAGAAAACCTAGGCATTACCATTCAGGACATAGGCATGGGCAAGGACTTCATGTCTAAAACACCAAAAGCAAGGGCAACAAAAGCCAAAATTGACAAATGGGATCTAATGAAACTAAAGAGCTTCTGCACTACAAAAGAAACTACCATCAGAGTGAATAGGCAACCTACAAAATGGGAGAAAATGTTCACAACCTACCCATTTCGATTTTTATACATGGAGAGAGATAGAGGTCTAGTTTCAGTCTTTTGCATTTGGATATCCTGGTTTCCCAGCACCATGTATTGAAGAGACTGTTTTTCCCCCAGTGTAGGTTCTTGGCATCTTTGTTGATAATGAGTTTACTGTAGGTGTATGGATTTGTTTACTGGTTCTCTATTCTGTTCCATTTGTCTATGGTCCATTTTTAAGCCAGTACCATTCTGTTTTAGTTACTATAGCTCTGTAGGGTAGTTACTATAGCTCTGTAGGGTAGTTACTATAGTTCTGTAGTATAATTTGAAGTTAGATAATTTGATTCCTCCAGTTTTGTTCTTTTTAGTCAGGATAGCTTAGGCTATCTGGGTCTTCTGTGGTCTCATATACGTTTTAGAATTTTTTTTCCTATTTCTGTGAAGAATGTCATTGGTATTTTGATAGGGATTGTACTGAATCTGTAGATTGCTTTGGGTAGTATGAACATTTTAACAATATTGATTCTTCCAATTTATGAACATGAAATCTCTTTCCATTATTTTGTACCCTCTCTTCAATTTCTTTCAGTACTTTATAGTTTTCATTGCAGGGATCTTGCACTTCTTTGGTTAATTTCTAGGTATTTGATTTTATTTGTGGCTACTGGAAATGGGGTTACTTTTTAAATTTCTTTTTAGATCGTTCACTGTTGGTATATAGAAATGCTACCGATTTTTATATGTTGATTTTGTATCCTGCAACTTTACTGGATTTCTTTATCAGTTCTAATAGTTTTTTGGTGAAGTCTTTAGGTTTTGCCAAATATAAGATCATATCTGCAAACAAGGATAATTTGACTTCTTCCTAATTTGGATGCCCTTTATTTCTTTCTCTTGTCTGATTACTCTGGCTAGGAATTCGAAGAATATTCTTATTTCATTCTCACTCTTTATATTTTCCACTTTTTATTATGAAAAGGTTTAAAATATAGAATGGTTGAAAGAATAGCAAAAAGTAAGAAAAAAACAGTTTGTACACACACACACACACACACACCCACACACACACACACACACTTTTTTCCCTGAGCCATTTGAAAGTAAAGTGGAAATATCATAGCATTATGCTGTTAAATATTTCAGCATGCATCTAGGATCTAGGTTAAGAGTTGGAAGATGTGAGATTACAGGCATGAAAGACTGAGCCATAATGTCTGAAAACCATCCAACTAGATGTCAGAGGTGGAGGAGAGGCAATATTTGAAAAGATAATGGTTTCAATTTTCCATAGTGGTGAAAAGATAAATTTTAAGATTCAAGAAACCCAATGAATAGAAAAGAAAATAAAGAACCCCACAACTAGATACAACATAGTTAAGTTATAGAACACCGAAGAAAAATATCTTGAAATCATCAAGAAAGTGTTGAAATAATGTTTTCAAAGTACTGGGGGAAATGATACCTACCTAGAAATTTGTAACTGTGAGCCAGTATCTTTTTTTTTTTTTTTTTTTTTTTTTTTGAGATAGAGTCTCGCTCTGTCACCTGGGCTGGAGTGCAGTGGCATGATCTCGGCTCACTGCAAGCTCTGCCTCCCGGGTTCGCGCCATTCTCTTGCTTCAGCCTCCCAAGTAGCTGGGACTACAGGCACCCGCCACCAGGCCCGGCTAATTTTTTGTATTTTTAGCAGAGATGGGGTTTCACCTTGTTAGCCAGAATGGTCTCGATCTCCTGACCTCGTGATGAGCCTGCCTTGGCCTCCCAAAGTGCTGGGATTACAGGCGTGAGCCACCATGCCCAGCCACTGTGAGCCAGTATCTTTCAGGAATTAGGCTGAGCCCTAATCAAGTGTTTATACTTAGCATCTCTAATGTCATGAGAAAGTCAGACAAACCCAGAATGTGACAAATCTAGAATATGTTTAAGAAAACTACATTCAAAAATGTCAACTTATTTTTTAAAAGTAAAAGGACAGTTTTAAGTTAAAAGAGATTTAATAACCAAATATGTGAACCTGATTATAAGGCAACAAAATTAGAAAAAAAAACAAGCTATTATGTTGGAAGCAACTGAAAAATTCTGATGAGATGATATCATGGAATCATTAATTTTTCTTCAGTGTGATAGTGGTATTGTGGTTTTATAGAAGAATCTCATTTTTAAGAGATGCATGCCAAAATATTTAAGAATGAAATGTCGTAACATTTGCAGCTTACTTTCAGATGTTTCAGTAAACAAAATTAATTTTTAAAAATCTACTTGTACTATTTTTCTTTGTGTTCCCTTATCAGTATTTTAAACATTTTCATAATAAAAAGTTGGATATTTCAGAAGGAATGGTACCAGCTCCTCTATGTAGTTCTGGTAGAAATTGGCTGTGAATCCATCTGGTTCTGGGCTTTTTTTGGTTGGTAGACTATTAATTACTACCTCAATTTCAGGACTTGTTATTGGTCTATTCAGGGATTCAACTTCTTCCTGGTTTAGTTTTGAGAGGGCGTACGTGTCCAGGAATTTAACTATTTCTTCTAGATTTTCTAGTTTATTGGCATAGAGGTGTTTATAGTATTCTCTGATTGTAGTTTGCATTTCTGTGGGGTCAGTGGTGATATCCCCCTTATAATTTTTTATTGTGTCTATTTGATTCTCCTTTCTTTTCTCTATTAGTCTAGCTAGCTGTCTGTCTATTTTGTTATTATTTTCAAAAAACTAGCTCCTGGATTGATTTTTTTGGAGGGTTTTTCATGTCTCCACCTCCTTCAATTTTGCTCTGATTTTGGTTATTTCTCATCTTCTGCTAGCTTTTGGATTAGTTTGCTCTTGTCTCTGTAGCTCTTTTAATTGTGGTGTTAGGATGTTGATTTGAGATCTTTCTAGCTTTCTGATGTGGGCATTTAGTGCTATAAATTTCCTGCTTAACACTGCTTTAGCTGTGTCCCAGAGATTCTGGTACACTGTCTTTTTGTTCTCATTGGTTTCAAAGAACTGCCTTAATTTCATTATTTACCCAGGAGTCATTCAGGAGCAGGCTGTTCAATTTCCATATAACCACTGCTCAAAGAAATAAGAGAGGACACAAACAAATGGAAAAACTTTCCATTCTCATGGGCAGGAAGAATCAATATTATGAAAATGGCCACACTGACAAAACTAATTTACAGATTCAATGCTATTCCCAAACTACCATTGACAGTCTTCACTGAATTAGAAAAAAACACTACTTTAAATTTCATATAGAATCAAAGAAGACCCCACAACAGCCAAGACAATCCTAGGCAAAAAGAACAAAGCTGGAGACATCATGCTACCAGACTTCAAACTATACTACAAGGCTACAGTAACCAAAACAGCATGGTACTGGTACAAAAACAGACATATAGACCAATGGAACAGAACAGAAATCTCAGAAATAACACCACACATCCACAACCATCTGATCTTCAACAAACCTGACAAAAACAAGCAATGGGGAAAGGATCACCTATTCAATAAGTGATACCGGGAAAACTGGCTAGCCATATGCAGAAAACAGAAACTGGACCCCTTCCTTACACCTCATACAAAAGTTAACTCAAGATGGATTAAAGACTTAAATGTAAAACCCAAAACCAGAAAAACCCTAGAAAAAAACCTAGGCAATGCCATTCAGGACATAGGCATGGGCAAAGACTTCATGAAGAAAACACTAAAAGCAATTGCAACAAAGGCCAAAATTGACAAATGGGATCTAGTTAAACTAAAGAGCTTCTGCACAGCAATAGAAACTATCATCAGAATGAACAGGCAACCTACAGAATGGGAGAAAATGTTTGCAATCTACCCATCTGACAAAGGTCAAATATCCATAATTTACAAGGAACTTAAATTTACAAGAAAACAAACAACCCCATCAAAAAAGCAGGCAAAGGATATGAACAGATACTTCTCAAAAAAAGACATTTACAGCCAGGCGCAGTGGCTCACGCCTGTAATCCCAGCACTTTGGGAGGCCGAGGCGGGTGGATCACGAGGTCAGGAGTTCGAGACCATCCTGGCTAACACGGTGAAACCCCTTCTCTACTAAAAATACAAAAACTAGCCGGGCGTGGTGGCTGGCACCTGTAGTCCCAGCTACTTGGGAGGCTGAGACAGGAGAATGGTGTGAACCCAGGGAGGCGGAGCTTGCAGTGAGCCGAGTTCACGCCACTGCACTCTAGCCTGGGCGACAGAGCGAGACTCCGTCTCAAAAAAAAAAAAAAAAAGAAAAGACATTTATGCAGCCAACAAACGTATGAAAAAAAGGCTCAACATCACTGATTAGATAAATGCAAATCAAAACCACAATGAGATACGATCTCTCACCAGTCGGAATGGCAATTATTAAAAAGGCAAGAAACAACAGATGCTGGTGAGGCCGTGGAGAAATAGGAGCATTTTCACACATTGGTCGTAATGTAAATTCATTCAACCATTGTGGAAGACAGTGTGGAGATTCCTCAAGGATCTAGAACCAGAATTACAAATTGGCCCAGCGATACCATTGTTGGGTATATACCCAAAGGAATATAAATTATTCTACTATAAAGACACATGCACACTATGTTTATTGCAGCACTATTTACAATAGCAAAGTCATGGAATCAACCCAAATACCTATCAATGATAGACCGGATAAAGAAAATGTGGTAATACACACCAGGGAATACCATGCAGCCACAAAAAGCAATGGGATCATGTCCTTTGCAGGGACTTGGATGAAGCTGGGAGCCATCATCCTCAGCAAACTAATACAGGAACAGAAAACCAAACAGTACATGTTCTCATTCGTAAGTGGGAGTTGAACAATGAGAACATGTGGACACAGGGAGGGGAACATTACACACCAGGGCCTGTTGTGGGGGTGGGGGCCGAGGGGAGGGAACTTAGAGGATGGGTCAATAGGTGCAGCAAACCACCATGGCACATGTATACCTATGTGACAAACCTGCACATTCTGCACATGTATCCCAGAACTTAAAAGTTGGATATATAAAAACTGAGGTTGAAATAAGTGTGTTTTCAGATGAAGAAAAAAGGAGTTGTGAGCTATCATTTCTCAATCTAAAGATTTATATTCAAGAAAATACAAGAAGGAATGGAGACAAAAGAAAATAGTTAACGTGTGGATGTCGAAACGAACTGCATAAAAGAGTAATTGTTTCTAGTTTATGGAGTTAAAATGCAACAAGATGAAGCTAAATACCTGGACAACAATAACACCCAGGCTGGAAGAGGAAGACTGATGTTAACATGTTCTAAAGTTCTTGTATTGGTCAGGAGGAGGGTAAATATTAGACTTAATTATCGGTGTTATAACTTTAAGGATAACCACTAAAATAATAAAATTGGAAATAAATCTTCAAACTAATGCAAAGTAAAAAATGAACAAAGAATCTAATTAAAAATAAGGCAAAGAAGATACAAAAAGAAACTGGAGAAGTATGACAAGTAGAATACACAAAATTATATAAAGCCAAATATTTCATCACAATAAATGAGAATAAAGTGAAATCTCCTGTTAAAAGTCAGTGATTTCTGACATGATTTAAAAGATAATTGAACTGTCTATTTATGTAAAGGATGCCTAAAATTGAGAGAAATGATTGAAAAATAAAATGATTGAAAAATATTTCATGTACATACTAAAGAAATCTGGTGTAACTGTATTAATATCAGACAAAGTAAATTTTAAGGTGAAAATCATTAGTCAAGATTAGAAGGGTAAGCATATAAAATTTTGTTCCCCAGGAAGATGCACTGAATCTAAATTTGCAAATCTCTACTAAGACAGCTTAAATGAGAAAACTAAATAAAGGTTGATGGATGATGCCGAGTATCTTCTCATGTACTTATTGCAATCCATCTATCTTCTTTGGTGAAATGTCTATTCAAATCATTTGCCCATTTATTTAGTTGGGTTGTTTGCCCATTGCTGGGTTTCAAAAGTTTTTCACATATTCTGGATACAATTACTTTATTAGGTATGTGATTTACAAATGTTTTCTCCTAGTCTGTGGCTTGTCTTTTCATTCTCTTAATAGAATTTTTGAAAGCAAAAGTTTTAAATTTTGACCAAGTTTAATCTTTTTTTTCCTTTTATGTATTGTCTTTTGGGGTTATCTCTAATAAATGTTTGCCCACTCCAAGTTTACAAAATTTTCTTTCAGAATGTTTACACTTTTAGGCCAGGTGCGTGGCTCACACCTGTAATCCCAGCACTTTCGGAGCCCGAGGCGGGCGGATCGCCTGAGGTCAGAGTTCAAGACTAACCTGGCCAACATGGTAAAACCGCGTCTCTACTAAAAATACAAAAATTAGCTGGGTATGGTGGCGGGTGCCTATAATCCCAGCTACTCAGGAGGCCGAGGCAGAAGAAGAATCACTTGAACCCGGGAGGCGGAGGTTGCAGGGAGCCGAGATTGCGCCACTGCACTCCACTCGGTCTCAATTAAAAAATAATAATAATAATTTTTATATTTTTAAATTTATATTTAGGTGTATGATCCAATTTGAGTTCAGTTTTGCATATTCTGTGAGGTATGGTTGGAAATGCATTCTTTGCATATGAGTATCTTATTCAAGCAGACTTGAATAATTTCAACTAAAATTTTAAAGTCAGAAAAAGAGATTATATTTCACATATTTATTATAGAACTAGTTACCTAATAACAGCCCAGCAAATAATATTTTCAAATTCACACAGAACATTTTCCAACACAGACCCTTTTCTGGGCCATAAAACAATTCCCAATAAATTTATTATTATTATGTATTTATTTATTGTGATGGAGTCTCACTCTGTCACCCAGGCTAGAGTGCAGTGGTGAGATCTTGGCTCACTGCAACCTCTACCTCCCAGGTTCAAGTGACCCTCCTGCCTCAGCCTCCCAAGTAGCTGGGATTACAGGCACATGCCATCATGCCCTTCTAATTTTCATATTTTTAGTAGGGATGGGGTTTCACCATGTTTGGCAGGCTGGTCTCGAACTCCTGACCTCAAGTGATCCACCTGCCTCAGTCTCTCAAAGTGCTGGGATTACAGGCGTGAGCCACTGCGCCCAGCCCCAATAAATTTAAAAACACTGAAATAACACATTGTATATTTTCTGACCATAAAGAAATTAAGCTAGAGATTGATAACAGAAATATATTTGGAAAAATCTCCAAATATTTAGAATTTGAACTCACCTCTAAATAACTCATAAGCCAGAGAAAATTACCACAGAAATTAGAAAACATTTTTAACAGAAATGAAAATATGTTATTAAAAGTAGTGGGGTTCACCAAAAAATAGAAAATAGAAGGAAATTTACAGTATTAAAAGCTTACAAGAAAAGTCTTGAATGATCTAAACTCTAAGAAACAAAAATAGCAAATTAAGCTCACATAAGAATAAAGAACATTTTAAAGCTAAGAGCAGAGCGTGCTTCTCAGATTTACAACAGACAATGTCAGAATTATTTACAATAGACAAACATGGAAGCAACCCAAGTGTCCATTGACAGATGGATAAACAAAGTATGGTATATACATGAAATGAAATATTATTCAGCCTTGAAAAGGAGTGAAATTCTTGGCTGGGCGCCATAGCTCACGCCTGTAATACCAGTACTTTGGGAGGCTGAGGCAGGTAGGTCACCTGAGGTCAGGAGTTGGAGACCAGCCTGGCCAACGTGGTAAAACCCCGTCTCTACTAAAAATACAAAAATTAGCCAGGTGTGGTAGCAGGTGCCTGTAGTCCTAGGTACTACAGAGGCTGAAGCAGGAAAACGCGTGAACCCAGGAGGCAGGGGCTGCAGTGAGCTGAGATCTCACCACTGTACTCCAGCCTGAAGGACAGGCGAGATTCCATCTCAAAAAAAAAAAAAAAAAGGAAATTCTGACACATGCTACAACATGGATGACCCTTGGTTCTACTAAATGAAGTAAGAAGTCATGAGAAGACGAATGCTGTATGATTCTATTTATGTGAGGTGCGTAGAGTAGTCAAATTCACAGAGACAGAAAGTAGAATGGTGGCTGTCGGGGCTTCGGGGAGGAGGGATAAGGGATGGGGAGTTAAGAGCACAGAGTTTCAGTTTTGTAAAATTAAGAGTTCTGATGATTGGCCGTACAGAAGTGTAAATGTACTTAACACCATTAAACTGCATGATTAGAAATTGTTCTGATGGTAAATTTTAAATTATGCATATCTTACCACCATTTAATAATAATAATAATAATAATAATAAACAGAAGCTCTACACATATTAAACAGCAACTTCCCATTCCCCTGTCTTAAATTTGGTTGCTTAGACCATTTACATGTACTGTGATTATCAATATTGCTTAAGTCTACCATCTTCAAAGTTGTTTCCTATTCTCACCCCCATAGTTTCTTCTCCCCTACCCTTTCTGACTTTCTATACAAAAGGAACATTTTTATATTCCTTTTGATTTCCATAACAGAGCCATTAGTTGTATTTTTTTTTACTGATCCATATAGCGTTTATAATATACACCCTTCAATTTACAAAAGTTTTCTTACGAATAATACCGTATCACTTCACATAGAGTATGAAACATTACAAAAATATTCTCCCATTTCCTCCTCTTGGCATTTGTGCGGCTACTATCGTGCATTTTAATTTTATACATGCTATAGACACATTATCATTCTTGCTTTAAACAATTTTTTAAATTTTTTGTGTTAGAAAATGTTATATTTTCACAGATATTAATCATTTCTAGTTCTCTTCATTTATTTGTATAGATCCCAATACGCATCTAGCATCATTTTCCTTCTGTCTTGTGAAAGGAAAATCTTGGGGCCCCAAAACTACTAAGCTAAAGGGAAAAGTGAAGCTGGGAACTGCTCAGGGCAAACCTGCTTCCCATTCTATTGAAAGTCATCCCTCTGCTCACTGACATAGATGCATATCTAATTGCCTCCTTTGGAAAGGCTTATCAGAAACTCAAAAGAATGCAACTACTTGGCTTTCACCTTCCTGTGACCTGGAAGCCCTCTCCCTGCTTCGAGTTGTCCCTGCCTTTCTGGACAGAACCAATGTGCTTCTTACATATACTGATTGATGTCTTATGTCTCCCTAAAATGTATAAAACCAAACTGTGCCTCTACCACCTTGGTACATGTCGTCAGGACTTCCTGAGGCTGTATTATGGGTGGGCATCCTCAGCTTCCACAAAATAAACTTTCTAAATTAAGTGAGACCTGTCTCAGATTTTCAAGTTTCAGTCTGAATAATGTAACATTTTTGTATTGCTATTCTGCCGGCAGTTAATTCGTGTAGCTTTTTTCTGTCTGAAAGATCTCAATTTTGCCTTAATTACTGAATGCTTTGTTTTTCTGGCTATGGAATTCTAGGTTGAGTTTTCAATTTTTCTTTCAATAATCTAAAATGTCACTCCACAGCATTCTGGCTTTCATTGTTTCTGATGATAAGTCTGCTACAATTCTTAGTTGTGTTCCTCTGTGTATATCTTTTTTCCTGACTGCTTTTAAGATTTTCTCTTTTTCATTATTTTTGGCCATTGGGTTATGACATGCTCTGGCATTTGTTTTCTTCATGTGTGTCCTGCTTGGCTTCCATTGAGCTACTTTGGTCTGTTTCCAGTATTCGTTTGAAAAATATTCTGAAGTTATTGTTTCAAACATTTTTTTCTCCCCACTCCTTTTCTGGTATTCAAATTACATGCATTTAGGCTACTCGACATTGTTCCGTAGTTCCCTGATGCTCTTCATTCATTGTTTTTAGTCTTTGTCTTTTATTTTGGGTAGTTTTTATTGCTATAGATGCGCCAACTTTTCCTCTTCTGTATCTAATCTCCTGCTAATCCCATACAGGATATTTTTTATTTCGGTTGTTGCATTTATCTTTAAAAGTTCGATTTGGGTCTTTTTTATATCTTCTATTTCTCTCCTTAGCACACGGGCAGATCTTCTTGAGCCTATGTGGTGTTTTTTGTTTGTTTGTTTGTTTGTTTTTTGAGATGCAGTCTCGCACTGTCGCCCAGGCTGGAGTACAATGGCCTAGTCTCGGTTCACCACAACTTCCACCTCCCCGGTTCAAGCGATTCTCTTGCCTCCGCCTCCCGAGTAGCTGCCATTACAGGCACCCACCACCACGCCCGGCTAGTTTTTTGTATTTTTAGTAGACACGGGGTCTCACTATGTTGGCCAGGCTGGTCTCTAACTCCTGACCTCAAAGTGATCTGCCCGCCTCAGCCTCCCAAAGTGCTGGGATTACAGGCGTGAGCCACCAGGCCCGGCCATATTTCTAATAACTGTTTCAATGTGTTTGTCTACTGATTCTATCATCTGTGTCAATTCTGGGTCTGTTTCTATTGGTTGAGACTGAGTTCTCCTCTGGGTACAAGTCACATTTCATGCTTGGTAATTTTTTATTAGATGCCAGGCATGACGACTTTTTACTTTGGGGACTAGATTTTGTGGCATTCTTTTAAATATTGTTCGGCCATTTTGGGGATGCAGTGAAGTTATTTGTAATCAGTTTTATCCATTCACATTTTGTTTCTAAGCTTTGTTATAGCAGATCCACAACAGCTTTTCAGCTAGGGCTAACATGACCCCAACTCCTGAGACACTATTCTTTTATGATGCTTGCCAATGCCATGTCTATTAGGAAGTCTTTCCACTCTAACTGATGGGAATGAAAACTGTCCTTGGCCTCATGTGAGCTATGGAAATTTTTCTTCCTCTTTCTTTCCGGTGTTTTTTTCCCCCAGTCCCAGTAGTTTCTTCACGTGTTGCAGATCAGTGCTCAAAGACTCCAGGGGACACATCAGAAGGTCTTTGGAGCACTCTCTCTTTTCAGTTGCCTTTCTAGGATTTTCCTCCATAAATTCTAGCTACCTTAGCTTTTCTGAACATCAATGGAGCCAGGCTGATGGACTCTGGATTACCCTTCCTTGTGTTTTGGCCTGAAAATGGTGGCACTTTAAGGGGACACCTAGTTTTTCTCCTTGCTCTCAGGGATCCCTGTACCATGATCTCTATTCTCCAAATACCTGAGAACTCTCATTACATTTTTACTATGACCCATGTTCAAGTATTAAGATGGAAGAGTAAATCTAGTTCCTTTTGTTCCATCATTCATCTAACATGCCAAATTTTAAATGGATGTAAAAAAGCAAAAGACCAGGAGGAACCGAATAGACTTCACTACTAGATATCAAGACTTACCATAAATAAATCCTAATTATGACAGGGATTTTAGTGAGTGGATGGAAAATAGACCAATTAAAAGCTAAGAAACAGACCCACACATTTATGAAATTGGACATATCTCTGGGGAAAGAAGGGATTATTTAATAAATAGTGTTAGGATTTATTTTTAATCTGAGAAAAAGATTGAATTTATCCCTGCATTATGCCACATAAAAATGTAAAATCCAGGTATGGTGTTGACTCTGGCACTTACGACCAGGTAGATGTGTCAAAGAATATTAAGTAGTAGCAGTGTTCATAATGGCAAGGTGGGAATAACCCAGGTACCCATCGATAATGAACAGATAATTGTGGTGTACTCAAAGAGAATACTATGTAGAGATACAAATAAATGAATTATAACTACACACATGAAGAGAGATGAATCTATAAAGTATGATCTGAGTTAAAAAAAATACAAGCCATATGATGCCATTTTATACAAAGTACAAAACAAGAAAAAAATGAAATAAAGATATTAAACACAAATACTTAAGTGATAAAACTATAATGAGAGCAATGGAATAATAAATTTCAGAATATTGGTTACTATATTTGGTGGGGCAGGACAGGTGATGGAGGGTTTTGGAGTGGATAGGGAGAGAGAATTGAGAAAATATGCAGAAAGTGTGAATAGTTTCTGTAATGCTCTATTTTTTTAAGTTGGGCAGTGGGGTTATGAGTGTCTGATTATTATACTTTATAACATAATACATAATTTTTTAGCATAGTAAACTTCATAGAAGCCAAGAAAACAGACACCCTCTATGGTCATATTCTCAAGTGCTCTGCAACTTCTAGGAGCCCTCCACACAGCTGGCTCTGGAGAAGTCCTCTTGTGTCACATGAGACCTTCACCCTCCTGCCCCCACTTAATTCTACTACCCCCTCTTTTCATAATGGGCTCAGAACACATCAAGTCCCCCCAGTCCTTAACACTACCACTGCAGAAAGTAATTCATCTGCAGTTTGCCTGCTTTTCTTTCACAAATGTGCCCATTCTATCTTCAGAGGGGTAGAGTGGCTCTCTAGTGATTTTAGAACAGCTGAAATAGCACAGATAGAATGCTGTGTTGGGCAGCAGGATGGGAATGGCTCAAAGCATCTATGTTAGTAATTGTGTAGCCAACGGTCTTCTGGAGGAAACTGGGGGTTCGGGAAGGGCTTCAAGCGGAAGACAGCAACAGAACTGGAATTTGAAAAGCAGGAAGAATTTTGATAGATGGGAGAAAGAAAATTCCCTGCAGAGGGAAATGTCATCACAAGAGAAAACTGCAAAGCTTTTGAAACACTGAGTCTTTCGGTTTGACTCGTTCACAGGGGAAAGGAATAGGTGGCAAAAATGGGATTGAGGTCACATCAAGGCGTTGGTATGGCATGTCAGGGAGTTAGATCCTGATTCTTTAGAACATGAGAAGGCATTCGAGATTGTCGAATAAATAGCGACATAACCAGAACTCTCTATGAAGATTTAAATAGGTATTCACGTATTTACTGTGGATAAGTCACTGTATATACACATAGTATGTGGGGCGGCGGCGGAGGGGGGTAGGTTAGGGGTGGGAAACAAACCCAAACCAGAAGCCCTCAGGACACAATGCTTGCCCTAGTGGCTCAGAATCCAGCTGCAGTTAGGGAACACAATCTAGAGGGGAGGAAAAAGCAACAGGACAGTTTACCAACTTCCCTGAAGCAGGTCTTTAGATTGTGGTTGCCTTATCTGGTGGCAATCAGTGTGAATAACCAGAGTGTCTGAATTAGAGCACAAAGGCAAATACTACCTTTCTGCCTTGCTCAGCACACTGTAAATAGAATTGGGTGGTAATCAGGTGATATAATGCTAGGAGAGTGTTCATTATGGATTCTCAGCAAATGCACATCCCCTTTCTGAGGAATAACAACGGGATCTGTGTCCATGAGTCCCATAGACCTCATTTTTAAAAGTCCAGGCCACTGAGACTTGCACAGACACACGGTGTGTGGGTCAGTGTGCTGCCCATTAGAGGAGGGGTTGGCCTTTGTTGGGCAGTAAGCTCTGAGGAAGGAATGTACCAACCTCTTTCCCAGACAAGCAGCGAGTTATTGATGCCAACCGTGTCCGATGGAATCCTCCTCTGCATTTCTTTAGCTTGGTGTTGCAATTGCCTGTATTGTGAACCCCCTCGGTTATCAGTCCGGATAAATGCACCAGTCTGCCTCGGGGGTGGCGAGATGATCTATTTATGTTTATCACTGAATACTGACTGAGCTCTTGATGACACGAAGCAAGCTGGGCCTCTCTTTCTCTCCACTTATCCATCATCCCCCGACCGCCAACACACCCTATCAAAAAGGAAGGGGCTGCCAAGACATATGCTAAAATTATATTGTATTTCATCTTACTTTGGAAGTAATGAGATCGTTTAACATGAAATGTAATTTACAAGTGCAGTGGGGCTTTTTTCCCCCTCCCCTCCCTTGGTAATAGCTTTAGACGCTGCATGCAGCTGACTGACACATCAGTAACAGGTAGAGAATGAAACCTATTCCTTTCAGAAAATGAGTGTTTGCTGAGAGAGCAGGACAGAAAGCAGTGATGACATGGGTCTTTCAGGACTTTGGCTGTTCCTCCAGCTCACCTCCCAGGAGGTTGGGATCCATTACTCCAGGCTCTGCACAAAACCACAACAGCAGACAGGAGGCTTCGAACACATGCACATTAAGCTAACTCCAGAATGAGACACTAAGAAGCAGCTGCAACTGCATTTTCCTCTGACCACCCCCTTTAGAAAATGATATGCTTTACATCCACACAGAAATATAGCAGCTGATTCTAATCAAAAGATGCCTAAGCCACTAACAGTTTCAGGTGTGTTTATTACCCCTGGAGGGGAATAATAGAGGACTCGGCAGCACTGGGCAAAGCTGGAAATGTAATCTTCTGGAAAAATGTCATGTTCAAGATAAAGTCACACTTCATAAGACAACTAATAGCTTTAGATTCACATATTTAAAGAGAATGTGGTAATTGTATGATAAAATATTAGCAAACCTCAAAAAATAGAGATAAAAATGCTAAGCATGTTAAGAGAATAGAAGATTATGGCACCAGCAGATTGGATTTTGATTTGCTTTTTAGTCACCCAAAAGTTATCACCTTTGAATGTGTTTTAAATTCAATCAACGTTCAAAATCATGCAGTAGAAGTCGAGTTGTAGCAGTGAAGAGTCACATACCTGTGTGCGTGGCTCCAGCAGGAATAGCTGTGCAACCTCAGGGAAGTCACTGTACATCTCTCTGTCTCATTTTTCTCATCCAGAAAGGAAGCTATGACCAGCACATAACTTATAAGATGCTTACGTGTAGTACCTGGTCCTTTTTTAAAAGCTCAGGTTCATGCATTTTGTAAAAGTATTAAATCACCCAACACATACTTGTTATTCCTAGTGTAGTCCGCAAACCGACCAGCATCCACATCGCCTAAGCGCTCATTAGAAATGAGCAGACTCTCAGGCCATACTCCAAACTCACCTATTTAGAATCTGAATTACAACAAGATTCAGGTGATTCATATTGCGCTTAAAATGTAGCGTTGGGGCTGGGCGGGGTGGCTCACGCCTGTAATCTCAGCACTTTGGGAAGCTGAGGTGGGCAGATCACCTGAGGTCAGGAGTACGAGACCAGCCTGGCCGACATGGTGAAACCCCGTCTCTACTAAAAATACAAAAAAAAAAATTAGCTGGGCATGGTGGCAGATGCCTGTAATCTCAGCTACTCAGGAGGCTGAGGCAGAAGACTCTCTTGAACCTGGGAGGCAGAGGTTGCGGTGAGCCGAGAGGGCACCATTGCACTCCAGCCTGGGCAACAAAAGCAAAACTCCGTCTCAAAAAAAAAAAAAAAAATTGCAGATTTTGGTTCAGCAGGTCTGGGAAGGGCCTGAGGTTCTGAATTTCTAATAAGCTCCCAGGCGATACTGTGCCACTGCTCCAAGGACCCCACTTTGGGTAGCAAGTGTTAAAAGAATGTCTGGCACATTGGAGGTGCTTAATACGACAGCCTACAGCTGTGATTCTTACACTGGATTCATCACACCACCTGGAGAGCTTGATAAACACAGATGGATAGGCCCCGCCCCTAAAGCTGCTGGTTCAGTAGGTCTGAAGGGGAACCAGTTTTGCAATTTCTAACAAGTTCCCAACTGATCCTGATGCTCCTGGCCCAGGGACCACATTTTGAGAGTCATTGGTCTACAGACTGGAGTGGAAAACAGTAAAACAAGATTAACTGTGAAAGCATAAGGAAAAACAGGATAATAGCACAGTATGATTTTTAGTTACAAATAATCTACATGTTAAGAAACCTAGAAGGAAACGTACAAGGGAGATTGTTTTATGGAATTGGAACTATGGGTGAATTTGAGGGTATTCTATTTGCCAAATTTAATTGAAAGTAAAAGGTCATTTTCTATCAAACCACTCCTTTCTTCATACGTTATTGCTCCAGATGCAGCAGCTCTCCTGAGCTCTGACCTGTCTCACTTATGTAATACAATGAGGCTACTGGCTTTTAGACATAAACAGGTTGATTCAGATTGAAAACAGGAGGAAATTAAGCATGAGAGAGTCAATGATGAAAACCGTAGGTATAAATCAACAAGTGGGTAAGCATATGAAAGGCTGCTTATCCTCACAGATTCTGCAGGGTGGATGTGTCCATAGTATTCAATGGGATAATTTGTTTACTTGTTTTATTATTTATGTCCTATTGCATTCTGAAAAGGTTTTAAAATGTTTTAAAAATGCATCCTGGCTTTATCAACCTCAAGTTGGTGAACTTTTGAATATTAAGTTTCCATGGCACAGGATGTGCAGTACTAAGAGTCACCATCATTGCCCTTAGCAGTGGAGCTGTGGCCAGGCACTGTCCTTTGCCAAGAGGCAGCCATCTCCACTGAGCATGGATTGTACAAGGCCTGGCTCATGTCCAGTCCCAAGGGCCCTAGCATTTCAATGCAAACTTCCCCTCAGATTTCAAAAGGCTCTTACACCCAGTAACTGCAATCCAGTTGATGCTCAATAAAGGTTTGCTGTTCTTAAAGGGTAGCTATCCCATTTGCTGAAGAAAGAGCTGATGCCTCAGAATTGGGGGCCCAAACAAAAGCAAACGATAATAACCATCATCATCACTAAAAACAACCTACATTGGTATTGGAAGTCATTACAAGAAAACAAGGAAGAGAGATATTTATTGTAGTGATGCTTGGAAAAGTGACAGATTGTCAACAATTTAATGCCCAGCATTAAGTCAATAGAATATTACATGGCCATTAAAAATTATGTCTGTGAAGACCAATGAATAATTATGGTATTAGCCGGCTGCGGTGGCTCATGTCTGTAATCCCAGCACGTTGGGAGGCTGAGGTGGGCGGATCACAAGGTCAGGAGATCGAGACCATCCTGGCTAACATGGTGAGACCCCGTCTCTACTAAAAATACAAAAAATTAGCGGGGCGTGGTGGTGGGCACCTATAGTCCCAGCTACTAGGGAGGCTGAGGTAGGAGAATCGCTTGAACCCAGGGGGCGGAGGTTGCAGTGAGCCGAGATTGCGCCACTGCACTCCAGCCTGGGTGACAGAGTGAGACTCCATTTCAAAAAATAATAATAACTATTATTATTATGGTATTATAACAAAAATATTTTCTAGGCTAAGTTTTTAATAAAGGCTACAGACTGCACCTAGAGCTTGATTACAGCTGTATTTTAAAAATGTCCTACCCAGGAACACCTGGAAGAAAACTTTGCAAAATGTAGGCATTAGTCATGTTTGCAACTCTTTCAAATTTTGCTCATTTATCCAAAATTTTTGTTTAATAATTATGCATTAAATTGAAAATAAAAATGAGCCTTTTTAAAGATCATGGTTTTAAAAATGTTATTTTCATCCTGATAACATTAACAGGAAATAGGAAGATAAGAAATCATTACTCTATAATTACCATTATGCTAAAACATCTACATGTTTGAAAAATAGAAATGCATTAACACTGATTGCTTCTTTTGGGACTCAGAGCAATTGGGAGAGGGGTAGGATCCTCTAGTTACCAAATTTATTCACTGTGGTTTGAGAATGAAATACAAAATATGAATGTATGAGTAGATTTGCAGCTCGTATGCACAGATTTCTCAAAGATGCACCTGAAATTTTGGGAATTAATCTTTATTTAAAATAAAATAAACAACAGCTTGTACTTTGGCTTACTGCTCCTGTTGAGGTGTTCTCAGGCTGTATCCTTGCCTCTCTGAACCACCCCAGTACTGGAGACTGTGCTCCCACGTGAGGTAGCATGAACAGGGGTTCATTGGTTTTCTCACCTGGAAGTGAACCCAGCCAAGGAGTATGACTCACTCCTCAGAGCCTCAGGAATAGTCATAATGGCTGTGAACCAGAATCTTGTCTCCTAGAAGCTCCACTCCTATAGCTGTTGGCTAATGTGTCTTTGTGGCCATCAGCTCTGTAACATACAAACTTCATGGGACCATGAGTGACCCCATATTTGGGGCTTAGGATAGGTACATGCAGAGAACAGAAAATATCATTGTTTTAAACATTTAAGCCAAAGTAGTGTTACATACTTCATCAGTCAAGGTTGATGGTGAATCTTTGGAGGGCCTTACTCAAAAACAAAAGTTTCATCCTGAGCATTGAGGCCCTAGGAATTTTGCAAGCAGACTTAGGAAAATTGAACTCATTCATGTTGTAAGGCCCACAGAGATGCGAAAACCTGCTCATGCCAGTCCACAAATAACTTCCTCTAATAGTTCCCATTACCACACAGCAAGCCATTCACTGAAAATATGCAGGACAATGCAGAAATTCATTAATTAATTCATTCACCCATCAAATATTCCTTGAGTCCCTTCTGTGTGCAGATGCCAGGTGCTAGAAATAAAGTGGTGCTTAAAACACGGTAGCTGCCTTAAAGCAGTGCAAGATCTAGATTCAGAGACAGAAAAGGTAGTTTCAGTGGAGTGTCACAAGGCCTTCCATGAGGACAACATAAGAGTTAAGGAAGGACAGAGGGCTTGCTGGAGGACGTGGTGCTTCAGCTGAGAGGGGAAGCCCGAATAGATTTTAACCTGACAAAAGAGAGTAAGAGTGGGGAAGTAAAGAGGGGAAGAATTTTCTAGGAGGAAGAGGAGCAGAGTCAAAGCCTGAGAAGAAAGCGAACATGATGGATGCTCAGCATTGCAGCATTGCAGCAAAGTAGGGTGCAAGAGCAGTGTCAAGAGATGACTCATAAAAGACTTGATAAGCTGTGTTGCCCTGGTAGCACATTTCAAAGCTTCCTGCCTCCCCTACCTACTGGGGATGAGAAAGGGAGCTGATGTTGACAAAGCCCAGGACAAAATTGGGCCAGCATAATTGGTATGGAGCTTCCCCTGTAAATGCAATGAGCTTGAGAATTCCAGCCTGTTGGTGCATTCCCTTTGCTGGACTATTTGTGTTCCCTTCATTGGCCTCTTCCTTGGAATTTGCTGTCTTCTATCACTTTCTTATCAGAGCATCTGGTGTCTAAGGGGTGCTTAGAGCTGTCTTTTATTCCAGATGGGCCCTACCCTGTGGAGGCTAAGTGGCAACTGCACTGGAGCCCAAGGAAAAGGAGGCAACCTCCAGAGCCTGATATCTACCTGGTCTCTGCTTAGGGTCTTTTGGCTGGTGGCAATGATCTCACATGATAAGCACAAATTTCTGTTCACTGGGTAACATATAAACTGGACACAGAAGAGGCAGCTAAGGGTGTCAACATACCAAAGGACAGGTTGTATGGAATTTGAATGTATAAAAGTTGAAGGGTTGCTTAGATCTTTCTTGGAGAGTGGGTATGACAATGATATCATATTAGGATCTGGCACAAAGTAGGTGCTCAGTAAATGCATGCTTTCTTTCCTGCCCTTCACGGCTAGCTGAGCTCTAAAGTTCACAAAAACTTAGCCAAATTAACAAGTCAGCTGTGACAATCAGTTGCAAGACACAAAACGGGCCCTAAAGAGGATAACAGGTTGGAAACATTTTAGGGGAAAAAACAGATCATTGCACCCTAAACACACATTTAGGACCTACACTTTCTCAGGCATTGTACAAGGGATTGTGAACCAGGTGAGTAGTTTGCCCTTGGGAAGCTATCGGTCTTATGGTGAGCCAAGTCCACACAAAGGATATTATTATTTGACATCCATGCACATAAAGAGCCAAGAGATGGGATGACTTGAAGAGGCATCCTCTCTCTCCCAGCTGGGAAAGGTATGGAAGGCTTTGTGGAGGAGGGGACATTTGAGGAGGGAGAGGTAGGATTTGGATTCTAGGGCATAGTATCACTGGAATAGCTTCCAGGGCAAAGGGAATAGAATGAGTCAAGGCAGACATGAAGGAAACATGGGGAAGAGCAAGCAGTTCAGTTGTTATAGCACATGAGATATGCCAGATGTCAGAACCAGGGGAAGGCAGGTTGGCAAGTCCCATTGGGATTAGATGGCGGCAGGTCTACAGGGCCAGCCTTCACGCTTACTCCAGGAATCCATCCTGCTCTGGCTGGAGCACCCCAAGGACACTGTGGCAGGACTGGATGTAGTGGATGTACATGGCTGAAGATAAATGCTTGTGACCACCGGCTCTGCACATGTTTGCTGCATAATGATGGAGCACCAACCCAGGCTTCTTCCTACCAACTGCATTGAAGGAGCAGTTGCACTATTCCCAGCTCTGATAACTGCCTGCCTGGCCCCTTTTCCCTTTATCACATTCCAGAAAACTGCTGTCGCACTCTCTAGGGTCAACCTGTCCCAGGCAATGTGGTCAAAAGACACAATCAAGACCCAGGACACAGAACTGCAAGCAGACCTGCAGCAGAGCCCGCCTGGGATGATTAATTACAAGAAGCAGCTGCATCCCTGACCGCTGCTTGGCAGACTCGGGGTCACAGCTGTGCAAAAGTAGCACCTGCTTTGCTTCAAGAACTTCTTCATGCCCGTCAAGCAGCCTTTTACAAGAAGACAGCAGAGTACCTAAATATGTGCCTCCCTTGAACAAGCCACGTTCCATGTATTAATCTTGCCAAAGGACTTTTTATTCCAGCATGTTTCCACATCTCAATTTTTACTGTTCTTACATCCTAACTAGCCTGTGGCCAACAGCTGTCATATTCATCCATTTAGATAACACTCAGGTATTTCCTCTTCTTCCTTAGCCTGGAACATTCCTGATTGATGGTCATTATATTTGCCCTCTTTCAATCCTCTTCACATCTGTATTCCATATGGTAAGAGGAAGGCCCTCCTACCAGGGGTGGTGATCGACAATTAAAATTACAAGATATATTTCCAACTGAATGCCTTGTTAAACAGCTATAAGAAACCTCAAATAAAATGACATGCTGCTGATAAAAAACTATTGGCCCCAAAGGGATGATCCCAGGGAGAAACATACATTCCTGGCTAACACGGTGAAACCCCATCTCTACTAAAAATACAGAAAATTAGCCAGGCGTGGTGGCTGGCACCTGTAGTCCCAGCTACTTGGGAAGCTGAGGCAGGAGAATGGTGTGAACCCGGGAGGCAGAGCTTGCAGTGAGCCGAGATTGCACCACCGCACTCCAGCCTGGGCGACAGAGCAAGACTCCGTCTCAAAAAAAACAAAAACAAAAACAAAACAAAATATTCCGTGACCAAATCTTCAACATAAGCAATAAGGAGGCACCTGCTTTAAAAATTACCTCATGAAATCCAACAGCAAGTGGCGCGTTAAAGAAAGTCAGCATTATTATCATTGGCAGATTAAACTGTGCTCACAAAAGACTCAAAGATGATATAAAAAGGCCTTCACTGCTAAAGACGTTTTCACTTCAAAGTGCATTGTCTAAAAGATTAGAACATTTCTTTTTCATAGAAACAATGATGGTGAAGGTCCCAGGCTATTCAATAAAATTCTGTTAATCCACAATTATAATGAAGAACAACATTGCCAAGCCACACCACTTCCTATTCTCCAACACATTCTGCTCCCCCATCTGGGTGCCCTTTGCTTGTGTATACCTGTCAAATCATACCTAATTGTGGAGACACGGAACAGGTACCTCCTCCTCCAGGAAGCCTTCCTTACAACCTCAGACAAAAGAAAGCCCTCTCCATTGCATGTTTCCGGAGTCCTCTCCTTTATCATTTTCTATAACAGTTCTTACATTGTGTGTTATACAGGCATCTTATTTGTCCTCTTCAGCTGGGAGTTCCTTGTGGGAAGAGATTATATCTTAATAATCTTGGACATCCTACAGCCTCAATGATGATGTCTTAAGAAGGCTAGCTCTTTCGTAAAAGTGTTTAAACTGAAAAACAAATGGCTGCTGTTAAACCAAACAGAATAATGAAGACTAAATGGAACTTTAAAAAAGTGACTGATCATGCCTGATCTATAGTTAGGTGCACAGGAAAGGCTAATTGTAAACTGAAAAACAACAAAGAATTTTTTTAACACAGCATTCCATTGTATGTTTATGCTATACTTTATTACATTAACCTTTAATTATTGAACACATCCAGCATTTTTTTCATTCATGAAGAATCCTGCAATGAACATAAATGTACTATCAATTCTGTGAATGAGTATTATTTTAGAATAAATTATTGGAAGACATACATGGGCATATGCACTGTTAAGAGTTTATGCAAATTGATGCTTCTAAATGGAAATTCTTTTAAAGTTCCACCAATAGGTATAAGTTTTGCTGTTGTTTTCTGGTAGATTATTTGGCCCCAGTTAGGGACATTTTTTAAATCCACAGTTTGTTAATAGTTTGCTCTTGAATGGGTGCTGAATCATATCTAGGGCTTTATCCAGGGCAGATAAAGCACCTGCCCTGGATGTTCTTCTCGGTTCAACCCTCAAATCCACACTGTCCACCTTTTCTAACCCGCTCTGTGTGAGAAGGGTGGCTTTTTTGCCCTCTGGCTATTGGTTGCGGTCAGCCAATGGGAAGGACCTTCAGGAAATCTAAAGGGGTATGGGTGGGGGAAGAGGGAGAAATTCAGCAAATACGCTTTCCCGGCATCCTCCTTAGTAACTCATCAGTAGCTTCATTTCTCTACCAAAGACCACAGATTCTACTAGATGTTCCCACACCACCATTTCTGAAAACCATCCATCTCCTTGCCTTTCAGGCCTTGGGGGTCAGGGGATGTGCAGGTGGCAGCTCCCTACTTTTCCTGGGCCTGGGATGCTTCACCATGTCTTATTGGGTTCCCTTAACCCAACAGCACCTCTGCAAAGGGTTCCTTTGTTAGACTCTCCCCATTCACCCTTCTGAAATTTCCATCTATTTTTTGACAAGATTAGACTAACATTGTAATTGGTACCAGGAGTAGCTCCAGGAGCAGAGTGGAAGCCCTTAACCATGAGCAACAACATAGACACAATTTCTAAAATGAGCAGGGGTGTCTTTTGTGGCAATGGAAGTATTTTGACCCACAGCATCTATGACTAATTGAATTGTAGGGTCCCTAGAAATGAAATCGATGGGTAGACTTACTCAAGTGTACTTGACTCATGTGGAAAGAAACTTTCTGGTTCTGGTGAGCAGAATCCTAATACAATGAATCCTAATACATGGAATCACTGTAATGGGATTCCATGGCCTCTTGCCCACTTTCCAGACCTAGGCCAGTACACAGAACCAGAGTAGGCTGGATTCTTTGAGGAAGAACTCTATAGTGCGACCACATGTATACAGTGTGCATCTACCTCCAGGCCTTCCTCAGAGGGCCCTGCATTTATTTCCAGGGTGACTATGCAGTAAGGAAAAAGAAATATCCAGACTTTCCAAGGGCTATAAGAGTCATCTCTGAGCCGATGTCAAGCCCTAGAAATTGAATTAATTTCTCAGTGGGTCTGGTGGGACCCACCCTGATTCATTTGTCCAGTTCCAGCATGTAGAAGGCCATCATCAAAGATCTGAGAAAGACAGGGGTCCTGGGTCTTACCATAGTGGCCATTTATTTAGCTTGTTGGGCCTGTACAAAACTCAGATAAGTCTGGAGAATAACTGTACATTATCACCTACTTAATCAGGTGAGGATGACAACTGTAGCTTTGGTTCCAGATGTGGTAATTTACTGAGAAAATCAGTACAGCCACTGGCTACAGGTATGCAACTATTAACACAGCAAATGCCATTTCTTCGATTTCTGTTGAAAAAGATAACCGGAAGAGATTTGTCTCCACATGTTTTCCCTTGAGACCATGATAACTCCCCTGCTTCTTTGTCATAATATAATGCACAGGGATCTTGATTATTTTGATATCCCATAGAACATCATGTGTGGGCACTCCCTCAGTAACAGTGTGCTCATTGTACACGGTAAGGAAAACTTCCCATCATGAACTGGGTAGCATCTGAGTCACCAGATCATAGAGGTGGGCACAGCACCTGTAGTTACATGGAAAAGATCTAAATGAGACTGACTCAAACAAGTACAGAAGGTACAAGTAAATGGCATGAGCACGTAGCTTTCTCCCCGTCAAGGTGCCTCTTCCTTATGCTTCACTACTTCTCCCTCTACCCACACTGATGACCTCATAGGGAATTCCTGCTCACCAGTCTCCAGTTTATGGAGGGGTTTTCAGGGTGTAAAATCCACTAGGAGTGGCCTTCAAAGAGTGGTGAAGGGAAATCCTCATTTGGGCAGACTTTGGGTAGTACAGTCAGATGGCTGCCTATTTCACCTGGAAGAGAAGAGCAGGAGTAAGGCTCAACATTGTCATTGGCAGAGGTTAACAGGTAAGTGACTGGCTAGAAACTTGGAAAGACCAATACTGGAAAATTGGTGATAGGGAAGCCTGGGCTAGAGATGTGTGGGTGGGTCTCTCAGAATGAGCACAGAGAAGACAATCATTTCTTACAAAAATGCCCACCAGAGGGCATCCACTCCAGTGCCAGCTCTCAGTAATGACTAAGTGTGGATGCCAGTTAGCCTCTTTCCCCAGCCACCCCAGTGCTTGCTCAGGCTCTTATCCCAAGTGGCCCTGAAGGTATGGCTGGGGTCAAGAAGCCTGGACTTTCCCCAGCGAGGCTTATTTGGTTCCTGACACCACTGAGTTCCCTATGAGCCAATGGCAAGTATGGCCCTAATCCCTGAGTATACCAAGCAGCCACATAGGACACATTGATTCCATTGCTCCTTTCATCATGGAGGGGGCAACAAATTTGGCCTCACCATGATAAATGCCTATTCTGTTAATAGACTTACTTTTCTTGCCTATTGTGCTTCCACATGCATCATGATTGGTGCCTTATCAGCTGCCACGTTACCCCAAACAACATAGTCTCCAGCAAAGCAGTTGTTCTATAGCAAAAAAGTATAGCCTTGGCTGGGCACGGTGGCTCACGCCTGTAATCCCAGCACTTTGGGAGGCTGAGGCGGGCGGATCACGAGGTCAGGAGATCGAGACCATCCTGGCTAACACGTGAAACCCTGTCTCTACTAAAAATCAAAAAAAAAAAAAAAAATTAGCTGGGCGTGGTGGCAGGCGCCTGTAGTCCCAGTACTTGGGAGGCTGAAGCAGGAGAATGGCATGAACCCGGGAGGCGGAGCTTGCGGTGAGCCCAGATCGCACCACTGAACTCCATCCTGGGCGACAGAGTGAGACTCTGTCTCAAAAAAAAAAAAAAAAAAAAAAGTATAGCCTTGAGATTTACTATGTGCCCCATCACCTAGAAGCAACTGCCTTAATAAAATGGCAAAGGTTTGATTACAAGAACTGGGGGGAAACAACATTCTGCAAGGTTGGGGAGCTACCCTACAGGACGTAGTAGATGCCTTTAATTAGCAGCCAATATGCAGGGCCACTACAATAGCCAGAATGCATGAGTCTGGGAGGTAAAGTGTGGATGTGGGAGTTGTCTCTCTCCCTATTTTACCAAACAATCCACTGAAGAATTGCTTTCCCTTGTTATGACCTTGAGTTTGATGGGGTTGGAGTGTCTGGTGCCTAAGGTAAGAAAACTCCCGCTAGAGATCACAGCGATATATCAATAAAATTATAGCTTGACACTGAACCCCAACCACATTATTTCTCATACCACCAAACTAACAGGCGGAGGAGTCACTCTACTGACTGGGGTAATTAATCCCAATGGCTACGGGGAAACTGGGTTGCTGTCGTGCAATAGAAGCAAGTGAGACTGTCTGGTAGACAACGGTTCACCGTATTGGCGGAAAATTGCAGAAATCCAGTAAAGACAGGACCACCCAGAGCTTGGATCCTGTGGAAATGAAGGCTGGCATCATTTCACCAGGAAGGAAACTCATTCATCAGAGTTGCTGGCAGAAGGTAAGGGGAACAGGAAAAAGGTGGTGAAAAATAGAGCTAGGATGATCAGCTTAGGCTTTTGACCAGTTAGCTGCTGTGACTTACGTTCCAAAATTGTTTCCTGCCCTCCACCTTTTGGGCCTGAACTTACACTAAAAAAAAAACAGGCGAGGTTTCACATGGTGATACTATTGAAGTCATATCAGCTCAGATAATTTCTTTAATTTTCTCTTCTTCATCTTCTTCTGTTTCTCCTCCTGGAACTTCTATTCTGCTGACTGAGTCCTAGCTCTATTCTTGATTATCTTTATCTTTTTATTATTATGGCTCTATTGATTGTTTTTATCTTTTATCTCTATTAATCGCTTGATTAATTTATCTTTTCATTTGTAATTCTCATCTCTGACTTTTGCTTTTGCATTCCAAGAGAATAACATTAGTTGGTCTGATTTCTAAGACTTTTTCTGAAGTATCCATTGTGATATTTAGGCTATTTTTTCTTTTGGAAATTATGTGTTTTTCCAAGATCTGTTTTTTCTCAGCATTGCCCTTTCCCATGGCTGTCTGCTCCTGTTTTATAAACATGATCTCTTTCCCAATCTCACTGCAAATATGAATTCAGTGTGTTTGAATTCCTGTTTTCTGGCACTCTGCTTGATCCACCTCTTCAAGCTGCTAATTTTTGTTCATTTTTATGAAGAAAAGTTGAGATCAGTGGTTTGAGGAGTAACATATCATAGTCCCTTGGAAAATGTTTTTTCAAAATACATATACCCAGTTTCCCTTTTTTTCTTCCAGTGCCCCATTTCCCCACTCCCAATAAAAGTATAACAATCTCCAGTAAAAGCTGTCTAGATAAAGATATTAATAAAAAACATAATCTATCTACATAATTCTGATATGCTTCCTTCCTCCACATGGAGAATCAGCAGGCTAGTGTGCACAGCACACTTAAATGATGTGAACTCTGGGAACTCAGGCCATTATTTGATTAACACGTTGGTTTACTGTGATAGTAGGTATGTAGGTGCTCTGTGTGTTGGCAGTGGTAGCTCATAAGATAAACTTCCTTCCAGGGACAGCAAGCCAGGAATGTTGTTGGAGTCTTAGAACAACCTGGTTATTCCCCAGTCTCTCTTTCTTTGTAGCATTAACTAAAAGGGCCACATATCTCAAACGCTGGAGCCCCAAGATGGTAGAGCACAATCAGTTGAGAATCCATAGTGACTGCTGATCCCTATGAATCATAAGCTTTTGCTGTGTTAAAACACCAAGACTATGAAATTCTTGTTTTAACACAGAATAACTTAGTGTATTCTGATTATTTAGTATCTTGAGTGTTGTTTTCCACATGACACATCAGAATTTTCCTATACCCTTAAAGACTATACAAGAATGAGACTTTGAATGGCTCCACAATATTTCATCGTAAGTTTATGTACTGTAAATTTACTGACCTAATCCTCTACTGTTGAACATTTGGTTGAAAACAGTTTTAGAAACTATAAACAATGTTGTAACAAACTCCATTGTGTTTGGCATTCGTTCATTGTCAAAATTTCACTAGTGCTACTCACATGATTAGAAATGATTACATACTGCTACAAATAACAAAATATTAGTGTACCATAGATTTAAGAACTATAATGTTTTTATTTGAAGATGACATGATTGTTTACATGGAAAATTCTTGAGAATCTACAAAACAAGTAAAACTAATACATTTATTTAATAAGATCAGACCATGTAAAATATGCATGCAAAAATCAATTGTATGTTATGTACTAGTGACAAACAGTTGAAAATGGAATTAAATAAAAACAATTAAACAGAGAATACCACAAAAAACATAAAAATTTTAGGATTTAATTTGTAAATACATGCAATATCTCTACATTGAAAATTACGAAACATAACTGAGAGAAATAAAAAATAGCTAAATAAATAAACATACCATTTTCATGGATCAAATACTCAACATTTTTAATATGGCAGTTCTCTCCAAAGTGATATATAGATTCAACTAATCACAAGCATAATCTTACCTGGGTTTTTATAGAAACTGACAAGTTGATTCTAAAATTTATATGGTAATTCTTGCCTCCCTGACAGTAGCTCAGCCTCCAGGACTCTCTTCCAGCATGGCTGAAGACACCTCTTCACATAAGATGGTGACAACAAATCACAGGCGCAGTCTCACCAAAATCACAGATCAGTTGAAAATCCTCATCAATACCTTCAATCAAAAACCTTACCCAGGTTATGCTACCAAACAAAAACTTGCTTTAGAAATCAATACGGAAGAGTCCAGAATCCAGATTTGGTTTCAGAATTGAAGAGCTGGATTCCAGAAAAGACCAGAACCTGGGACTTTAGAATCAAGCCAGAGCCATGGGCAAGATCGACCTGATGCAGAGTTTCAAAGTAGAGAAGCCAGATGGTGTTGTACCACCTACAGCGCCTCTCAATTAAGCACTCTCATCAAGGCATCTATGAAAAGCCCATACCCTGGGATTGATTCCAGAGAACAAGTTGCTGAAGAAATTGGTGTTCCAGAGTTAAGAGTCCAAATCTGGTTCCAAAACTGAAGATCTAGATTTCATCTCCAGAGAAACAGGGAACCTGTTGTGTCCTTAGAACAAGAAGACCAGGGGCAAGATTTCTGAGGGACATCAAGGTACAGAAGATACACAAAATGGCACCAACCTCACTAGCAATTCTCATTTCTATAGAGCCAGAAGGTGGTGGACACAGTCAAGTTCAGTGTATTTGATATTATCAACTTGGGCCCCAAATCTCTCTCACAGTCTTCCTGGGAGTCTATCCTTCTGCTGAAACTGCAAGCTAAGCCCTCTGAAGATGGTAAAGGACACGGCCAGGTGCGGTGGCTCATGCTTGTAATCCCAGCACTTTGGGACACCGAGGCAGAAAGACTGCCTGAGCCCAGGAGTTCAAAACCAGCCTGGGCAGCATAGCAAGACCCTGTCTCTATTATAAAAAATGAAATAAAATAAATAAAAAGGACTGTAGGAGGCAGAGACAGGTACAGGAGGCACCACACTACCCTATTGACACAGCCTGGATCCAGAGTTCAGCGGACCTTGAGACAATGAAAATAAACTTATTAATAATCAAAATAAATAAATAAAAATAAAATGTATATGGTAATTCAAAAGACTTAAATATCAAAGTCAATCTTGAAAAAGAAGAGAAAAGTTAGAAGACAAACAATCTAAATCAAAACTTACTATAATGCTATAATGATCAACAAACTCGTCCTGGTATGAAGATCAACAAATAGATCAACAGAACAGACTGGAGTTCAGAAATAGGCCTATAGTTACAGAACGTGATTTTTACAAAGGTGTCAAATCTTTTCAACTAATAGGGTTGGAGTAACTAAAATCCATATGGAAAACAACAAACCTTGACCCCTTACCTCATACCACACTCAAACACTAATTCAAGATAAATCAGAGACCTAATTATGAAAGGTAAAATTATAGGGCTTCTTGGAGAAATCACGGAACATCTTTGCAAGCTGGGGGTAGGCAGAGTTTCTTTAGACAGGTTACAGGAAGGCAGTGACCATAAATGGGAAAATTTTTATAAATTAGACTATCAAAATTAAATACTTTTGATTAAAAGACATCATGAAGAAAATATATACTAGACTACAGATAGGAAAACAATATTTACTAAAAACAACTCAATACAAACTCAATAATAAAAGCCAAACAATCGAATCAATAACTGGAGGAAAAAAAAAAAACATGTGAATAAGAAGATACGTGCATGGCCAATAAACATGGAAAAAGGTTCTGAAAAGCATTTGCTATTGAAAATGCAAATTTAAACCACAATAGGACACCAATCAACACTCACTAGCATGGATAAAATTAAAACGAGTAACATCAAATGGCGGGAAAGGTGTGGAGCAACTGAAATCTGTGTACGTTGTTGGTAGAAACGTAAAATGGTGTGACCACTCTGAAAAATATCTGCTCAGTTCTTTATTTTTTTATATTTTATTTTTATTTTTTAGATGGAGTCTCACTCTTGTCGCCCAGGCTGGAGTGCAGTGGAGCGAACTCGGCTCACTGCAGCCTCCGCCTCTCGGGTTCAAGCGATTCTCCCTCCTCAGCCTCCCAAGTAGCTGGGATTACAGGCGGGTGCCACCACACCCTGCTAATTTTTGTATTTTTAGTAGAGACAGGGTTTCACCATGTTGGCCAGGCTGGCCTTCAGCTCCTGAGGTCAGGTGATGCTGGGATTACAGGTGTGAGCCACTGTGCCTGGCCTGATCGTTTCTTTAATAACTAAGCATATATGTGTCAAGTTGGCTAGGCCATGGTACCCAGATACGTGGTCAAACACCAATTTAGATATTGCTGTGAAGTTATTTTTTGGAGGAGATTAACATTTCAATCAGTAGACTGTGAATAAGGCAGATGACCCTCTGTAATGTGGATGGGCCTCATTCAATCTGTTGAAGGCCTTAAGAGAAATGACTGATGTTCCCCCAAACAGAGGAAAGCCTCCAGATTGTCTTTGGATTTGGGCTACACCTTTAATATTTCCCTGGCCAACCCTGCTGGCCTACCCTGCCGATATTAAACTTGCCAACCCCAGAGTCATGTGAAGCAATTCCTTAAAATAAACACACACACTCTCTCTCTCTCTCACTCTCTCTCCTCACACATACACTCAAACATACACACACACACACACTATTGATTCTGTCTTTAGAAAACCCTGACAAATACACTATTACTTGACCCAGCAATTCTATACAAGAAAATGAAGTCAAATGTCCCTAAAACTAATTGTACAAGACTGTTCGTGTGGGTTTATTCACAATAGGCAGAAACTGGAAACAGATCAGGTGACCACTGATAGCAGAATGGATAAACAAACCATATTATATTCATACAGTGGAATACTGCTTAGCAGCAGAAAGCCATGAATTACTGATAAATACAACAACATGGCTTAATCGGAAAAACATTTTATCTGAGTGAAAAAGCCTTACACAAAAGAGTATTTATGATGTGATTCCATTTATCTAAAGAATAGGGAAAACTAATCAATGATGAAAAAGGAAATCAGAATAGCAGTTGCCTCTGGGGATGGGATGGAGGCCGGGGCTTACTGGAAACAGGAATGAAGGAGCTTTCTGGAGTAAGGGTATTGTTCCATGTGTTAATGGAGGTTGGGTTATACAGGTGCATGCATCTTTCAAAGTTCATCAAATAGTACAGTAAAATTAGATCATTTCATTTTAGGTAAATTTTATCTTAAAGAAAAAAGAAATATAACTAGATATTAAACTCTAGGTAGCAGTATACATGGTGAAGTGTTTAGGGGTGAAATATGCTGATGTTTGAATCTCACTTTGAAATGCACTAAAAATAAGAGAAATTAATGGATAGAGAGATGGATAGGTATATCAGAATAAGTGTAGAGAGATGTTAATTGTAGAAACCAGATGGCAGGTGTTTGCTATACAGTTATTCCCAGTTTCCTACATGTTTGAAATTTCTCCTAATAACATGTTGGAAAAAAAGAGAAGTTTATTTCTCTTCAAGAAATAAAGATCCAGAAGCAGGCAATCCTGGACTTAGATGGCAACTCCATCATGACTAGCAATTCAGCCTCCTTCAGTTTTCTTCTACTTTCCTTAGCATGCCACCTCATAGCTGGATCTCTCAGCAACTATTCCACTCTGCAGCCAGCAAGACACTCACAGCATCCAAGCAATTCTTTCCTGTCTCTCCTGCCTCATCATTATTTCTCTCTCTACTGGATTGCTGTCATCAGCATACAAAACTGTAGTTATTTTTCTCATCTGAAAAAGATTCTTCTCTTGGCCAGGCATAGTGGCTCATGCCTGTAATCTCAGCACTTTGGGAGGTTGAAGCAGGAGGATCACCTGAGGTCAGGAGTTCGAGACCAGTGCGGCCAACATGGCAAAACTCTGTCTCAACTATAAATATAAAAATTAGCCGGGTATGGTGGTGCATACCTGTAATCCCAGCTACTCAGGAGGCTGAGGCAGGAGAATCACTTGAACCCCAGGAGGTCACAGTGAGACGAGATTGTGCCACTGAACTCCAGTTTGCGCGACAGAGCAAGACTCCATCTCTCTCTATATATATATATGTATATATATTCTATATATATGTGTATATATATATGTGTATATATTCTATATATGTATATATATTCTACATATATGTGTATATATGTATATATATTCTATGTATGTGTATATATACACATATATATATGTATACCCAACTTCCTCTTCTTTTAGCTGCTGTCCTGTTTCTTTGCCCTCCTCTATGCAAAAAAAAAAAAAAAAAAATCCTCAAAAAAATAAAGATGCTTCCCCTGTGTGATTCCGTCCTGCGCAGCTGTTCTCTTGAGCAGTGGTTGTTTATATCCATCCACCTTCTCTCCCATCTAAGTGTGTGCCGCCACCTGATGGAAGATTCGATGGGCATGTATGTGGACATGAGCCCCCTGAGGCCCCAGAACTATCTTTTCGGTTGTGAACTAAAGGCCGACAAAGATTACCACTTTAAGGTGGATAATGATGAAAATGGACACCAGTTATTTTTAAGAACAGTCAGTTTAGGGGCGGGTGCAAAGGATGAATTGGACATTGTCGAAGAGAGGCAATGAATTACGAAGGCAGTCCAATTAAAGTAACACTGGCAACTTTGAAAATGTCTGTACAGCCAACGGTTTCCCTTGGGGACTCTGAAATAACACCACCAGTGATCTTACGGTTGAAGTGTGGTTCAGGGCCAGTGCATATTAGTGGACAGCACTTAGTAGCTGTGGAGGAAGACGCAGAGTCAGAAGACGAAGAGGAGGAGGATGTGAGACTCTTAAGTATATCTGGAAAGCGGTCTGCCACTGGAGGTGGTAGCAAGGTTCCACAGAAACAAGTAAAACTTGCTGCTGATGAAGATGATGGTGATGATGATTTTGATGATGAGGAAACTGAAGGAAAAGCACCAGTGAAGAAATCTATACAAGATACTCCAGCCAAAAAATGCACAAAAGTCAAATCAGAATAGAAAAGACAAAACCATCATTAACACCAAGAACAAAAGGACAAGAATTTTTCAAAAAACAGGAAAAAACTCCTAAAACACCAAAAGGACCTAGCTCTGTAGAAGACATTAAAGCAAAAATGCAAGCAAATGTAGAAAAAGGTCTTTCTTTTCCCAAAGTGGAAGCCAAGTTCTTCAATTATGTGAAGAACTGCTTCCGGAGGATTTACCAGGAGGCTATTCAAGATCTCTGGCAGTGGAGGAAGTCTCTTTAAGAAAATAGTTTAACAGTCCCCGGTATGTGATGTTCCCCTTCCTGTGTCCATGTGTTCTCATTGTTGTGGGGTGGGGGGAGGGGGGAGGGATAGCATTAGGAGACATACCTAATGCTAAATGACGAGTTAATGGGTGCAGCACACCATCATGGCACAGGTATACATATGTAACAAACCTGCACGTTGTGCACATGTACCCTAGAACTTAAAGTATAATAATAATAAAAAAAAAAAGAAAAATAGTTTAAACAATTTGTCAAAAATTTTCTGTCTTATTTCATTTCTGCAACAGTTGATATCTGGCTGTCCTTTTTATAATGCAGAGTGAGAACTTTCCCTACCGTGTTTGATAAATGTTGTCTAGGTTCCATTGCCAAGAATGTGTTGTCCAAAATACCTGTTTAGTTTTTTAAGATGGAACTCCACTCTTTGCTTGGTTTTTTAAGTATGTATGGAATGTTATGATAGGATATAGTAATAGCGGTGGTCAGACATGGAAATGGTGGGGAGATAAAATTATACATGTGAAATAAAACTCAGTATTTTAATAAAGTTAAAAATAAAAATAAAGACGCCTATGTTTGTTGTTTCTGGTTCAATATTCTGTGGTCAGCCCTTGGGGTTCATCTTGCTTGCTGCATCTGCAATACTCAGTGTAGCACGTTGATCACTGTTTCCTCCATAATACAGCTTCCTAGACACCAAAGTCTTGACTTTCTTCCCACTTCCCTGTTTCCCTCACAGTGCTTTCTCAGTCTTCTTTGTAATTTACCCCTTTTCCTGGACATCTCAATGTTGGAGTGCCCCAAGGCTCAGTTCTTGGACCTTGTCCTTTCTCCTTCCCATCCAGTTCCAAGAACTTAATACCACCCTCTTGCTTATGACTATCAAAATTCCATCTCCAGTTCAACCTCTCCCCCAAAGTCCAGACTCATAGATCCAACTCTTACTATCAGATATTAACTTGCACATCTAATAGATATATTACACACAACATGTCCACAACCAAATTCCTGGTCCTTCCCTCAAAGCCTGTTTTAACCTCAGCTTCCACTATTTTCATGATAGCAGCTCCATCTTCCAGGTACTTAGGCCAAAAATTGTGTCATCCTCTTCTCTCTCCTTTGCTCATACCCAGTAGTCAATTCATGAGGAAACCAAGCTGATTCTGCCTTCAAGATATACCCAGGACCCGATCATTTCCCACTGCCTCCTGGCTGCTCCCCTGGCTCAGGTTACTACGATAGCCTTCTAACTGGTTCTGGTTTCTGCCTTTGACCCTGCAACATTCTATTTGTAACAGAGCGACTTAACTAATTCTTTTAAAATGTTAAGTCAAATGACATCAATCCTCTGCCCAGAACTCTATGTGGCTCCCCGTTTCTCTCAGAGTGAAATATGTTGTTCGGTAGCCTACAAGGCTCTGTGTGGTCTGGCCCCCTCATTTCCTCTGGACCTCACTTACCCCCTGGTCTACTGACTCCAGCCACAGTGGCCTCCTGCCACTCCCGGGATGGTGCCAAGCATGCTCCAGCATTGGGGTCTTTCACTGGCTATTCCTTCTGCCTGGTACACTCTTCCAGATATCTCCCTATTCAATGCCCTCTCCTACTTCAAGTCTCTGCTCAGACATCACCTTCTAGATGATTCTCAGCCTCACCATTCTGGGCAATCTTGAAACTCCTCCCCACTCCCACCCTGGGGACTTCTGATCCTTCCTACCATGCTCTGTATGTTTCTTTCTTCTGTTGTGCATATCCCTTCAAACATGCAATTAATGTATTTATTTATTATATTCACACCTAGAGTCTGTCTCTTGCACTACAAGTTGAATTCCAGAAGGAGAAGGATTTTGCTTTTTCGCTTATGTAGATGCCAAGCACTTGAAACAGTGCTAATACAGAGACCAATATATGCTCGTTCAATAAATAAATGAATAAATGAAGCACACAGAACTGCATGGTCAAACCTCCTTAAACCCCTTAACCTCCTACGTCTTATACTTCTATGATTTAACCCAATACATTTCTTTCCTCCACTAAGAATAGATTTTTGTTCTTCTGATCAACACTACACCACCCAGTGAAGGGCCTTGTAATTTATTCACCCAACCAGCCTTCAAATGTAATTAGGACCTATTAGATGAAGAGGTGGACTTGTTTTAAAAAGCAGCACAGCATGAGCAGTCCATTCTTAAATCAGAGGCTTGTAAGCAGTAGGCGTTACAGTCAGGAATACAAAAACCAAAAATGAAACAGTTGTTGCTCAAATACCTATTAAAGATCCCCAGGGTGATCTTTATGTAGAACAAAAACAAAACTGAAACTAAACAAAAACCAACAGCCATTAAAAAGAATAGGTCACCTCTCCTAATTCTTGCTCAGCTTCTAAGGAATTAGATTCAGCTCTTAATATTCAACTTTTTCTCTCCCCTCTAGACCTTTTGGGCTTATTTTCTGTCTTACGGATTTACTTCAAGCAAAAGTAACAACCATAACCATCTGTTGCATAAAAATGAGAATTATACTTTCAACCAAAAGGCAACTTGCTGTTGCTGAGATTTGCCACTTGTCCCATGTAGCAAAGATCCCAGGTGCAGCAAAAGAAGGAGCTACTTCAGGTCTGCTTGAACACCCTTCTTTTTATGCTACTCATGCACTGGGATCAACTGTCAGGCCTCCAGCCCCAGAACACATTAATGACTAGAAACTCAGAAGCGATACTCCAGTGATGTTCCCTGTAGTCCAAGCAGTTTCCTTGAGTGTGGCCAGTTTATAACTTCTGCACAACTTGGAAGCAATGCAGGACTCTCAAAAATGGCTCCAGGCACCTATTCATTGGTTTTTTTCTTGTGATATATTTGCCTTTCCACTTGCAATCACTTACAGTTAAGGAAGGGGTAATACATTTAGCCAATGTCAAGATTTAGACAATGGCAAGAGTCTAATGTTGGCCACCATCTGCAACGTTTATGGTGTCACAATGGGCAGAGGAAGACAAAGGAACCGAGATTGCAAATATAATACATGAGTCACGAAGGTCTGGAAAAGCCACATCTTTCTTTCTTTGTTATTATTGCTGTTGTTAATTCATTAAGTGATTGATTTTTATTGCGTTATATTTCCAGTATCCCTTTCAGCCGAGTATAAGGCCATTTTCTTGGTTACTAGGGCAAGGTGAGGTCAAGTTTGTGCATGTGTGGGTATGTTAATAATTCATATCATACCGTGTAGACTATGCAAATAAAACATGGGTCAGCCTCTTTCCTAAGTCCTCCAGCTCAAACAAGAGCAACTCCCATCTCAGCATATTACTCCCTGCTGTCAATGTCAGTCTCTTAAAACATTATCATGACAGAAAACCAAAAGATTTCGTGAAAAGCTCTTTCAGCTACTTCACACACCATGGAGTGTCAGTCTGGGTGAAGCATTGCTTCTCACTGAAGATATTGTAACAGTTTAGCAAAATCTAGCAAGTCAAATTCTTTCCAAAGGTAAAATGTTCTGGATTCATCTTAGCCTGTTCCTATCTAAACTGACAGATTTGCCCATGAAAATCACTTGAAATATCTTTATATGGAGAGGCAGGAACTATCTTTTGTTCCTTAACAGTTCTTAAGAGCAAATAATACTTGAGTTTGCTCTTCCTGAGAAAAAGAGGAAGAAAAGATCAAGAAAGTGAAGGCGGTAAAAGCAGCAAGAAATAATCAAGAAACTGATAACTATATTTCCTATAATGATCAGCTATTACCTAACAAGAATGCATGGCTTTCTTCTCTGCTCTACTCTTAACCAATGGCTGGCTTGTACTTGGTGACTCCTAGGGCTCAAGTAGGCCATATGACAGTGGACAGTGACCCTCAAGCTGCTGCAGTGCAGGGCGTGTCTGAGGATGGTTCACAGGGAATGCCATGGGCACACGGTTTCTGCACGATAGCAGAGGTTCTTCTCTATTGCAAGTATCTCAAATTCCTCCCACTGTCACAACTGGTTTGAGAGACTCAGAACACGGCACAAGGGCAGGAGGTCCACTCAGGACAGTTGTTATTGCTGTGTGTAACCAACAGCCACAGCCAAAACAAACTAAAGGAGATGGTGTAAACCCTTTCAAAAATTCAGTTGGTAAGGGTTTCTATTTATAGGGCTGAGCAGTTTTGGATGGAGAGAGAATTCTCTCCAGTTGGCACTAGCCAGTCCAGAACAGTGGTGTGGGTATGAAATTTATGTGGGTTGGTGGATGCTATAAGACCTAGAAGACCAAAGGAGATGTGACTTGGCACAGAAATACTTCCTCTGCAATCTGTTTCTTTGTATGCTTTCTTTTGGGAAGAGTGCCTCTTTTCCTACTAAGGCTTCCAATAATTGGCCCACCTTAAGCACCCAGCATGAATTCTGTTCTGTAATAGTGATTCTCCTCTCTACCCTACAGAAACACCATGCTGAGCCTCCTTGTGCCCCACCATCTGTAATTCCCTCCTGCCTGTTCAAATCTCCCCTGTCCTTCAAGGCCCAGGTGAAGACCCTTCTTCCCCGTGAAGCTTTACAGATGACTTCAGCCCACACTGATCTCTGAGTCATATGGCACTCAAGAGTCTGAGTCATATAATTTGCCACTTTATTACACATTATTTAATACTATCCTATAATTCCAGGTAGAACTATAGGATAATTTGTTGGTTTGTCCCCCAATAAAACTGTACTCTGCTCAAAGTCAGAGACTGAAACTTTTACTTCTTTGTACCCCCACTGTTGCTGGCAGAGCCATGGACACATGGTAGACAGTCAATAAAAGACTAATTGGATTGTTCCCAAGTTGCAAATCAGTGCATACATTAAGAAGGCTAAGCCAAATAAACTCCCTCCATTAAAGTCTTCTAAATTACATATAGATCTAAAATTCTAAAAAGCAGGCAAATGACAGAGGTAAGTCACTGAAGGATAAAAATTATTTCAGCAATAACCTCAAGTTGCAGAGACAATGTAGTTACAGGAACAAGGGAGGGAGGGAGGGCAAGATTTGATTCCAAATTGACCTTTATGATGTATTCAAAGGATATTGAGAGAAAGCTAAGGATGAGAGCAGATAACAAGCGAGGTGCTACCTTCCAAGGTGGAAGGATGGCAAGAAAAACAAGCACTAATTGTGAGAGAAGGAGTATATGGGAGAGCATTTCAGAGAGACAGAGGATAAGAACTCCATGCACAGAGCCGTGAGAACTACATTTCATTCTGACAGCCTGCTTAGCCAAGAGATGCAGATAAATTAGTAGTTAAGTAGAGGTGAACAAAACAATCTCGTTGATTGGGAAATTCACAAAGCACAAAAGGAGTCCTAAAAAGTCCAGTTATGGAATCTCTCATGATCCATACTGACCACTCTCTGAATCAAACCAGGCTCCTCTTTTGCCTGGAACCATGGACAGTGTTTTTAGCACCTGCAACATGCCTAGCACTTTACACACACCACGTCCAAGCTGCACAACAACTTAACATAATGTTTGCAGTGTCGCTTGTATTTTACCGATGAATACATAAAGGCTCAGAAAATCAAAGTTATTTGCTTATTCATCCATTCAATGAACATTTAGTGTTGGCTTGTTTTGGTGCCAGGCACAGTCTGTTAAATAGGGGTCAAGGCAGCAGTGTCTGCTGTCACAGAGATTATGTCATAGAGCTCAAGAGTCTGGCTAAGGTTTGGACCCTGTCTGGTTCTAAACCACACATGTAGCCTCTTTTCTATTCTGCCCTTACAAGGAAAGCCTACGGATGGTTTTCTTTTTAAACCTGTCATAAACATGATAATAACATGGTTATAAAAATATTTTGTCTCAATAACACTTCAATTGAAAAGACTATTTAAACCACCACAGGACATATGAAGTATGTGGAAAGAAAGGAAGACTTTTCTTACCTCTTATTTAAATTACAAAAGCAAGGCATGAAAGGCTTCTAGCAGTAGGGCAGATTGAGAAGACACACGTTCCCCCCTTTCCATGACAAACAGAAATCATGGGCAAAGGGTAGCAACAAATTGTAAAACCAAGCTTGGTAAGAAAACAAGACAGAGAAACCCCAAGAGTCCAGAAAGAGGAAAAGATCTCAAAGCCAAGTGATGCAGTAAATGGGAGTTCATTGACTATGCCTCCTGTGGGTACTTCACCCAAACATCAGATCTGGAGTTAGGGTTCTGACACTTGAGTGAGGTGTAACACCTAGGAGTTGGAAGCCAGGTATAAGCCCCTGCATGGAGCCTGGAGCTATGAAGAGCTACTCCATTCTCCAGTCAAAGCAACAAAACTTTGTTCCTATGAAGGGAAAAAGAGCAAGAAAACTTGTCCTTCTGGGGTCATGGATGGGAAACAAAAAGAAATAGAAACTCAGAAACTAGAGATGCATAGTCAGAAATTATTCCACCCACTTGATAAAGAAAACTTCCTGCTAAGAAAGGAATACCCAGCTAGTCCAGACCAGTAATACTCTTAGGACCCTTGCGAATGCAAAACCAAAATCCCACTGCAGACACATCTCCACCACCCACTATGAAACAAACCCGACTGGAGATGAGTTAACAATAAAAAGTATAAATCCAATGTGAACATGAAATACAATAAGGGTGAGTTTGCAAGGGCATCAAATGGAGAACTGGAGCTAACAGGACAATTTGAAAAAGACTATAAAATTGTCTTTAAAAAGACTACTAAAAACAAGAGAATGAAGGAGATGGGAGAAGCAATCAGAACTATAGTGAAAGAATGGATCAGAATTTTATAAAAGACGTATTTTAAAGAGAATTAAGAGGAGACTTAGAAATGAAAAACTTAACCATTGAAATTAAAAACCCAAAGCACATTCCTTAAGCAGATTAGACAGCGGGTAAGAAATTAAGTAAACCAGAAGAAAGCGCTAAAAAAATACTCTAAATACAGTAGTGAGAAATAAATAGAAATTATAAAAGAGCTCTTAAGAAACATGGAGAATAAAATGACAAAATCAAACGTAGATCTGATACCAGTTCTGGAAGTAGACATTGAAAAAAAAAGGAGAAGCATTATTCAACAAAAATGGTCAAAACTGTTCTCAAGAAGAGACATAGGTCTTTGAAAGACACACAGAATCATCAGCAGAAAAATATAAGTTAACTCCAGCAACATTATATTGAAAGTGCAAAATATCGAAGACCAAAAAAATCTTAAAAGCATCCAAAGGGGAAAAAAAGCTACCTATAAAGGAATGACAATCACACTGACATCATATTTCATATTAGCAACAACAGACGCCAGAATTGTTATCTCCAAAGGGCAGTGGGAATCTAGCTATCAAGCTAGTACTTTGAACCTAAATCATCCATCCCTATGTTGTTCAATATGGAGTATGAAGTCACTGGTCAAATGTGGCTATTGAGCCCTTGAAATGTAGTTAGTTTGAATTGAGATGCACTGTAAGTATAAAATATACTCTGGATGTCAAAGGCGTATTGTGAAAAGAATGTGAAATATCTTGTTAACAATATTTTATATTGATTACATGTCAAAATGGTGACATTTTGGATATGTTGGGTTACATAAAATATATTATTAAGTTCACCCATTTTTGGTTTTTTTACTTTTAAAACCAGCCCCAGTGATCTCCATTCATTCACTTAATAACATTTGCCACCTTCCTCCAACCTCAGGCTATTTGCAAATTGAAAATAATCTCTTAATTAACTCCTTGGCTACTTTGTACTTTTAGCATTTCCTTGGTTTCAAAGTATACATTTATCTGTAGAACCATTTTATCCACGTCTGTCTCCCAACTAAAATAAATGTAAACTCCATAAAGATAGAAACGATACCTGTCATAGCCAGTCCTGTGTGCTCAGCCCCTAGCATGGCGTGGACCCAGGACTCTATGTCTTAGTGGTAATTAAGAGTATGTGCTTCAGCATCAGATGGAATGATTTCGAATCTGCCTCCACTGGGGCCGTCTATTTGACCGGAAGACACGTCATCTGACTTTTCTGAGCTTTGATTTCCTTGGTTTTAAAAAGCCTATTTTCCTATTCTTTAAGATTTTAATGAAATGAATGAAATAGCCCATCGGTTGTCTCCTTCACTCTGATGCTTTTTAATACGTGCCTGGGACTTAATTTATAAAATGAGTGGCAACATGGAGGGGTCAATGCATTTGAAGGAAAAGTTGAGTGTTACTCACAGCTTCCCTAGAAATGAGGCATAGCACATTGTGCAGGGTCACGTGGGGAAACATCAGAGTCACTGAGGAGGGAGGAGGCAGGGGAAGGCATGGCCACAGCTGTTACTGGGGTTTCTGTGGGAAACCCAGGGCAGGGTAAACAGCTTCGGATTGGCTAGTTTGAATAAGCCCGGCAGGCTTTGGTGGCATAAAGCTGCCCCTAGGTATCTGGTCCCTGGCCCTGAGTTGATGTAGGGCAGGGGAATATTGGCTTGTTACATGAGTGTTCAGTGAAGAAGGTGACTGGGGCGTGGCTATGGATCAGTGGGTCAGCATTTGAAAGGCAGGCTCAGAGATAAGCCATCGATGATTTCCAGGAATTAACTAACCCTGGGCGGGGCAGCTTCTCCACAGTCAGCAAGGCCCCCAAGATGTCAAGCATTATAAAATATAAAAGCACAATTAGTACACCTTTGAGCCACTGTTGTCTTTCCAAAGAGTAACAATTTGCATGTCACAGTGGCCACTCCCTTGTTCTGGACACAGTTTTGCTTATTTAGGTTTCTTCCGCTTGCTCTGAGAGATGACTTGTTCCTAAACCACCCTTACCTACTTTCCAAAAACCAGAAGCTAATTGCCACAGTTCTGCCACAATTCTAGTCTTAGTGCTAGAGCACTCCCCAGCTTAGCCTGTCCCAGCTCCCAGGAGATGCTAGAAGAAATTATTGTTAACTATCCTGCAAGCTCAAGGAAATGCTATTAAGCATGCCAAAAAAGAAAGAAAGGGCCGGGTGCAGTGGCTCATGCCTGTAATCCCGGGAATTTGGGAGGTCAATGTGGGTGGATCACCTGAGGTCAGGAGTTCAAGACCAGCCTGGCCAACATGGGGAAACCCCATCTCTACTAAAAAATACAAAAATTAGCCGGGCGTGGTGGCACATGCCTGTAATCCCAGCTACTTGGGAGGCTGAGGCAGGAGAATCACTTGAACCCAGGAGGTGGAGGTTGCAGTGAGCCAAGATTGCACCATTGCACTCCAGCCTGGGTGACGGAGCGAGATTCTGCCTCAAAAAAAAAGAAAGAAAGAGTGAGAGAGAGAGAGACAGACAGACAGACAGACAGAAGGAGAAAGAAGGAAGGAAAGAAAAGAAAGAAAGGAAAGAAAGAAAGAAAGAAAGAAAGAAAGAAAGAAAGAAAGAAAGAAAGAAAGAAAGAAAGAAAGAAAGGAAGGAAGGAAGGAAGGAAGGAGGGAGGGAGGGAAGGAAGGAAGGAAGGAAGGAAGGAAGGAAGGAAGGAAGGGAGGGAAAGGAAAGAAGGAAGGAAGGAAGGAAGGAAATAATATTTTTTCCATTGTAAGTTACAGAAATGACTCACAGTGGCTTGGGCAGAAAAGAACTTATTATAAGGATACAGAAGTATCTCAGGAACCCACAGGCAGCCGACCTGAGGAATGAACTGGATCCGGGATGCCATGTAGATACTCTTTCACCTCGTTCCTCTTTGCTTATCTGCTCTGTTCTTCAGACTGATGTTCTCTGCTGCTTCACTGCACATTGTGGATCGAAGGTCCACCACTACAGCTGACTGGCCCAGTTTGGGTGAGATACCCATCTCTAGTCTAATCAACTGTTGCTGGGGGTGGCAGGGGTGGCAAGGAAATTATAAGCCGAACAGACAAAGACGATCACAGTGGTTGAATAGTTTGGAAGGTTAAAATGCTGGCTAAACAGCTTCTCAGGGCACAAAACTAGTATGCATTATACATTTTTAAGACAGTGATGGCCGGGCACGGTGGCTCACGCCTGTAATCCCAGCACTTTGGGAGGCCGAGGCGGGTGGATCACAAGGTCAGGAGATTGAGACCATCCTGGCTAACACGGTGAAACCCCGTCTCTACTAAAAATACAAAAAATTAGCTGGGCGTGGTGGCACACACCTGTAGTCCCAGCTACTTGGGAGGCTGAGGCAGGAGAATCACTTGAACTCGGGAGGCAGAGGTTGCAGTGAGCTGAGATCATGCCACTGCACTCCAGCCTGGGTGACAGATTGAGACTCTGTCTCACAAAAAAAGACAGTGATATAGTATGTAGTATTAACCAAACTTACGGAAATTCGAACATCTTTTTTCCCAATGATTCATTAAATATTAGGGAACTAGTGTCCTATAGAATTCGTACAATTGCCAAAGGTCACAGGTTGTGGCACATCTTTGATTTTCCAAAGTGCTTTACTACGTGGCAGGAGATCAAAAGATGTGATTTCTTGATATTCTGTGTGTATATCTTAAATAATCGTTGGGTAGATGGGGGCATTGAAGGTTAAGGGTACTTCATGAGAACAGACACAAGAAGAAAGTGGGAACTTTGAAGTCCCTGCCTAAAGTAGAATCATCAAAATTTGAGCAGGACCAATCCTCATACCCAGCTGTCTCATCTTAGAAGCTCCAGAAAAGCTGATTGACTGGCCCAAGGTCACACAGCAAGTTAGTAGCAAAGTTGAAACCAGAACCATAGCATGACGAGTACCGTTGTTAACAGCAGGCCAGCCTTGGATGCATTCAAGGTAGAGATTTGACTTTTCAAATATTTGCAAAGCCTGCTTTGAGCTAATTGGTACTGTAGGAGTGCCTGGATTTTATGATAAGTGGCGCAGGGATTCTGCATTACAAGTTCAGAGACTGAATCCATGTTTGCCAGCCCAAGCTGAGCCTCAAGAGACTCTGAGATCACATTCTTCGCTGCCACACTGACAGCCACAGAAGCCGCATGTACTCAGAGTACACTCACACTGGGAGCCCTGTGGAGTGTTTAATCCTTAATTTAAATCCTAATGATTATTCAGCCTATTCGAGAGTTTAACTCAGTCATCAAAGGTTAAGGTGCCTCCGGGTTCTGCATTCAACAAGGCAGGAAATTAGTTTCTTAGCCCCGAATCCAAGCGGAAATAAAGATGGGAAAGTCAGAAACTGACTCTACCTTTGTTCAAATGACCCCCGCTAAAACTCTACGGAGAGTTGCACATACCATCAGCAGCCCCAAAGCAAAATATGTCATCCATTGGCACCAAGAGACAAAGCAAGTCCTTCCAGGGGGCTTCAAGAGTTGCTGGCTGGTGGTAAAGACCTCGTGCCACCTACCCGCCCCTACCCCAGTGCCTGTCTTTACCTCCAATACAGAAAAGGGAGTGACATGGGAAGCCCATCTTTGGCCATAGTGGAGCAAACAGCTTCCAGTATGAAGACTTTGCTTGGCCCAAAGCTTGTGCCACTGACTGTTTTAAAAGTGGACTTACTCCAGGCTACCCTCTTTGGGTCCCCTCCTGTTGTATGGGAACTCTGTTTTCACTCTATTAAATCTTGCAACTGCACTCTTCTGGTCCGTGTTTGTTACGACTCAAGCTGAGCTTTTCCCTCGCCGTCCACCACTGCTATTTGCTGCCATCACAGACCCGCTGCTGATTTCCATCCCTCCAGATCTGGCAGGGTGTCCTCTGTGCTCCTGATCCAGCGAGGCGCCCATTGCCACTCCCGATCGGGCTAAAGGCTTGCCATTGTTCCTGCATGGCTAAGTGCCCAGGTTGATCCTAATCGAGCTGAACACTAGTCACTGGGTTCCACGGTTCTCTTCCGTGACCCACGGCTTCTAATAGACCTATAACACTCACTGCATGGCCCAAGATTCCATTCCTAGGAATCCGTGAGGCCAAGAACCCCAGGTCAGAGAACATGAGGCTTGCTGCCATCTTGGAAGTGGCCCGCCGCCATCTTGGAAGTGTCCTGCCACCATCATGGGAGCTCTGGGAGCAAGGACCCCGGTAACATTTGGCAACCACGAAGGGACCTCCAAAGTGGTGAGTAATATTGGACCACTTTTGCTTGCTATTCTGTCCTATCCTTCCTTGGAATTGGAGGAAAATACCGGGCACCTGTCAGCCAGTTAAAAAGGATTAGCGTGGCCGCCGGACTTAAGACTCAGGTGTGAGGCTGTCTGGGGAAGGGCTTTCTAACAATCCCCAACCCTTCTGGGTTGGGACCATTCGTCTGCCTAGAACCAGCTTCCGCTTTCAATTTTCCTGGAGAAGCCAAGGGCTGACCAGAGGCAGAAAGTTGTCATCCTGAACTCCTGGCGTTAGCCGGTTGAGATCTTGGCGCAGCCAGAAGCCTCTACTCAACAGTCACCCATGAGTGTGCCCCTACCTTTCTTTCTGACCCATACCTCCTGGGTCCCGACCATGACTTTCTTGAAAGTGTAGCCCCAAAATTCTCCTTACCTCTGAATCTACTTCCTCTGATCCCTGCCTCCTAGGTACTAATAGTTCAGACTTTCATTTCCTCTAGCAAGTTGTATCTCCAGAGGGATCTAAGGAAGCTCTATGCTGCATCCTTACGCATCTAGGCTATAAACCCAGGGAGTCTTGTCCCTGGTGTCCCTCCGATTTAGGTATACAGCTCTCGACATGGGCAGTTATGTGGGACCCTTTCCCCACCACCTTTGCCAAGGCCCCAAGTTTGTAAATGCCTAAGAGGAGAGAAAGAGAGGGAGACAGAGAGGAGGGAGACAGAGGCAGAGAGGATAAAGAGGTAGAGAGACAAAGAGGGAGTCAAAGACAGAAAGAAAGAGAAAGATAGAAATAGTAAAAAACAATATGCCCTATTCCTTTAAAAGCCAGGGTAAATTTAAAACCTATGATTGATAATTGAAGGTCTTCTCCATGACCCTACAACACTCCGATACTACCTTGTTGTCAATGTAAACAAGGGCATAGCCTGAAAACACTGAGACCACTGGCAACCCGTATACTCTGCTTTCCCAAATATCAGAGGAAGCAGACTGGTTTACAGTCCTGGACCTTAAGGATGCCTTTTTCTGCATCCCTGTACATCTTGACTCTCAATTATTGTTTGCCTTTGAAGATCCTTCAAACCCAATGTCTCAACCCACCTGGACTGTTTTACCCCAAGAGTTCAGGGATAGCCCCCATCTATTTGGCCAGGCATTAGCCCAAGACTTGAGCCAGTTCTCATACCTGGACACTCTTGTCCTTCAGTATGTGGATGATATACTTTTAGCTGCCCGTTCAGAAGCCTTGTGCCATCAAGCTACCCAAGCGCTCTTAAATTTCCTTGCCACCTGTAGCTACAAGGTTTCCAAACCAAAGGCTCAGCTCTGCTCACAGCAGGTTAAATACTTATGGCTAAAATTATCCAAAGGCACCAGGGCCCTCAGTGAGGAACGTATCCAGCCTATACTGGCTTATCCTCATCCCAAAACCCTAAAGCAACTAAGAGGGATCCTTGGCATAACAGGCTTCTGTCGAATATGGATTCCCAGGTACGGCAAAATATCCAGGCCATTATATACACCAATTAAGGAAACTCAGAAAGCCAATACCCATTTAGTAAGATGGACACCTGAAGCAGAAGTGGTTTTCTAGGCCCTAAAGACGGCCCTAACCCAAGCCCCAGTGTAAAGCTCGCCAACGGGGCAAGAGTTTCTTTATATGTCACAGAAGAAACAGGAATAGCTCTAGGAATCCTTACACAGGTCCAAGGGACCAGCTTGCAACCCATGGCATACCTGAGTAAAGAAATTGATGTAGTGGCAAAGGGTTGGCCTCATTGTTTATGGGTAGTGGCGGCAGTAGCAGTCTTAGTATCTGAAGCAGTTAAAATAATAATGGGAAGAGATCTTACTGTGTGGACATATATGCGAACGGCATACTTACTGCTAAAGGAGACTTGTGGCTGTCAGACAACCGTTTACTTAGATATCAGGCTCTATTACTTAAAGGGCCAGTGCTGCAAATGTGCACTTGTGCAACTCTTAACCCAGCCACATTTCTTCCAGACAATGAAGAAAAGATAGAACATAACTGTCAACAAGTAATTGCTCAAACCTACGCCACTCGAGGGGACTTTTTAGAGGTTCCCTTGACTGATCCTGACCTCAACTTGTATACTGATGAAAGTTCCTTTGTAGAAAAAGGACTTCGAAAAGCAGGGTATGCAGTGGTCAGTGATAATGGAATACTTGAAAGTAATCCCCTCACTCCAGGAACTAGTGCTCAGCTGGCAGGACTAATAGCCCTCACTCAGGCGCTAAAATTAGGAGAAGGAAAAAGGGTAAATATATATACAGACTCTAAGTATGCTTACCTAGTCCTCCAAGCCCAGGCAACAATATGGAGAGAAAGGGAATTCCTAACTTCCAAGGGAACATCTATCAAACATCAGGAAGCCATTAGGAGATTATTATTGGTGGTACAGAACCCTAAAGAGGTGGTAGTCTTACACTGCTGGGGTCATCAGAAAGGAAAGGAAAGGGAAATAGAAGGGAACTGCCAAGCGGATATTAAAGCAAAAAGAGCCGCAAGACAGGACCCTCCATTACAAATGCTTATAGAAAGACCCCTAGTATGGGGTAATCCCCTCCAAGAAACCTAGCCCCAGTACTCAGCAGAAGAAATAGAATGGGGAACCTCATGAGGATATAGTTTCCTCTCCTCAAGATGGCTAGCCACCAAAGAAGGAAAAATACTTTCACCAGCAGCTAACCAATGGAAATTACTCAAAACCCTTCACAAAACCTTTCACTTAGGCATTGATAGCACCCATCAGATGGTCAAATCATTATTTACTGGACCAGGCCTTTTTAAAACTATCAAGCAGATAGTCAGGGCTTATGAAGTGTGCCCAAAAAAATAATCCCCTGCACTTCAGGCCATACATTTCACTCCCGATATCTTTAACCTCCTTGTTAAGTTTGTCTCTTCCAAAATCAAAGCTGTAAAGCTACAAATCGTTCTTCAAATGGAGCCCCAGCTGCAGTCCATGACTAAAATCTACTGTGGACCCCTGGACCAGCCTGCTAGCCCATGCTCCAATGTTTATGACATCGAAGCCACCCCTCCCAAGGAAATCTCAACTGCATGACCTCTACTACACCCCAGTTCAGCAGGAAGCAGTTAGAGTGGTCATCGGCCAACCTCCCCACAGCACTTGGGTTTTCCTATTGAGAGGGGGGACTGAGAGACAGGACTAGCTGGATTTCCTAGGCCAATTAAGAATCCCTAAGCCTAGTTGGGAAGGTGACCACATCCACCTTTAAACACGGGGCTTGCAACTTAGCTCACAGCCGACCAATCAGGTAGTAAAGGGAGCTTGCTAAAATGCGAATTAGGCAAAAACAGGAGGTAAGGAAATAGCCAATCATCTATCACCTGAGAGTACAGCAGGAGGGACAATGATCAGGATATAAACCCAGGCACTCGAGGTGACAACGGCTACCCTCTTTGGGTCCCTTCCCTTTGTATGGGAGCTCTGTTTTCATTCTTTAAATCTTGCAACTGCAAAAAAAAAAAAAAAAAAAAAAAAAAAACAGTAGACTTACTCCTTGATGCCTTCTATTACCTGTGGGAGTAGATCATTTAATGGAACATGCTCGTCAAAATGATGGAACTCAGAATGCTTTTTACCAAGCACCAGCCTTCCAGTTAAGTAGTTTATAGACACGTGCACTCAGGGATGGAAACATTGCGGGAAATGGAAGAGGCTGGGGAGATAAAAGCCACAGCAGGAAGACTCCCCTAGAATACTACATTGATGTTTCTTCCAAAAATCCACATATTAGGCCCTACCAGCATGACCACCTCTTTCCCCACATAGCCCTCACCACCATGCCCAGAAAGACAATCACAGAGGCCATTTTACTGGTTGTTGGATTAGAGCAAATTGTGCAGGACAGGTCAACACTCAATGACATTTTCCTGATTGACTGGTTAATACAAAAATATACCCAGTGCCCCTGGAATTGATGGAGAAATGTATCATTATCTAAGCAGATGCCCCACTGTGCACCCAGCCACTTCTGAGCAGAGGAGGCTAGCCCACAGAGGCCTCCTTCTTCAATCCATCCTTAAGTTGTGTCCCAGAGTGCGCCTTCCTTGGCCCTGTGTGATAGGGTTAAGTTTGCCTGCATGTGTTGTACCTTTATTTGATTTTCTAAGTGTCACCTTGTGGCCATCACCTCCATGATCTTGTGTGAGCTGGTGACACCATCCCAATCCAATAGCTGGATCAGCTGGAGTGTTCAAGGCCATCACAAGATCTCCCTTCCCCTGCAACCCTCATCACTGTCAATTTAATGAGGAATCCAAACACAGAATGACCTTTATTTTTGTTTATATAATTTATTTCCCCATAGCTAAAGAAATATTTGTTCATTCATTATGAAGTATTTGGAAAATACAAGTGGAAAGAAAACTCTCCTGCAAATCAGTCATAACTCCACCAAATTAAAAGATGATTGAATAACCCTTTCTTTAGTCTTTTCACTATACACATATATAGAAAACTAAGAGCTAACATTTATTGAATGCTACAATACATCTACTACTTAGCTAAAGGTTCAGATATATTATTTCACTTAATTCTCACTACAGCTCTAGGCAGTAAATACTACTTATAATCTTCATGTGTAGTTTTACTTTGCATACAATTTTGTTTGCTAGGTTTTTGTTCTTTTAACATTGAAACACAAGCATTTTCCATTTTACTAAAATTTTTCTGGTTATCATTTTTAATGATTTCATGTTTTTTATTTAAATTTTATTTCATACTTTTAGTTTAAAACATACATTAAAATGTCTTTAAGGGTTTGTTTCCATTTTATTTTTAAAATACTGCTGTGATGAGCATCTTCATGGATAACTGTCTTCTATATTTAATATTTAAGATAGCTTCTCCGAACTACTAGATCAAATGGGTATAAATATCTTAAGTAGTTTATTCAGTTATTTGCAGACTGATTCTTTTGATTCAAAACAATTTTATGTAATTTAAAGAACATAATATCCATCACTATCAGAAGTTATTAGCTACATTACCCTGCTAAGAGTAAAATAATTTTAAAACTCAAATAGCATTTCACCTCAAACTTTCACACAAAACTAAACATGCTACCTATTATCAACTACTAAAAACTTTTCAAAAGTGTGTTAACATAGTACAAGCTGTTTGTGGTGTTTTGGTAAATACAAAGAGCATAAAGAGTCTAAAATTTATCCATAATCTCATGAGCATTCAGAGAGGTCCATTTTAACATTTTGGTGGATTTCTTCCCATTTCTTAACAGATTAGATAGATACTACTGTGTAATCTATTTTACACACTTTTCCATTGAATATTACACTACATAAACCTCTTAAACGCTCTTGATCCTTGAACGCAAGTGTTCCCAGGAGACTTGTATCAATAAATAAGTCCTGCAGCCTTTGGAGAGCTGCCCCCAAGCACCCCAAATGTTCTTTGCAGATCTGATTAGGGGCTGATGTGCAAAGGTGGTCCTTCCTCTACTACGTCCCGGATTGCAAATAGAGGAAGGTTCTCTCGGTGAATATTGCTGTTGTTTCTGACTGGACAGCCGAGCATTTGCTCTTATATCAAACAAAGTACCCATCAGCTTTCTGCTGATCTGGAGAAGGTGGCAGATTTCAAAAAAAAATAAAGCTTTGACCAGGGACGGACTCCTGTGGGCTGAGCAGCAGGAAACCTGCTTTGAAGATTGTAACTTATCAAGCCAGTCAGATGGAGTATGCTGCTGTTGGAGGTATTTTTAGAAGCCTAATTCAGCTGGGAGAGGGTGGAGGGGAATCTAGATTTGTACTCAGGTCCAGTGACAGGCAATTTAACCTAGTGAAATCATCTTCTGACCTCAGCTCCGGGGAGAGGACCCCACATCGACGGCTGGGCAATCCCTAACCTTCAGGAGCAACTGTCTGGGCTCTTGGCAAGCATGCAGCTCCGGCTTACCCGGAGCCTCTGCTCACAGTTCTCGAGCTGCGGTCCCCATTTCAGAGCTAGGAGATGCTGAGGCTCACAGGAGATCAGAAACGTGCCCTGCACCCTTGGCTGTACCTGGTCTCTGCTGTTCATGGATGCTTAAGAGCAAGCAGGCTGCAGCAGGTGGGACTGGCAAAGACCAAGGCAAAATAAGCTTTTCAACTGTAAAGGAGCAGTAGCTACCAAACGTGCTTCCCAGGGTTTGTCAGTTGGTACAACTCTCATAGAAACATAACCCAATCAAGGATTCCTAGGAAGTTAGATCTGGAAGGGATCTGAGAAATAAGATGGGTCAGAAATCACTCTGCTTTTCCTAGAGCTGAGTCCCACCCCACTGAGGCTGTCTCCAGCAGTGCATTTAAAACATTTGGAGGTGTTTCCCAACTTTAAAACTCAGGAGATTTTACATAAAATCTGGATTTCTGGCTTACCTGGAAGAATTAGGACATCTTCCAGTACCAGGTTCCTATTATTGCAGGACAGCAATAAGCCACCCTCTGCAGGAGGAGCACCAAGTCCCCAGGTTGCCACCATCTCCCCCATTCCCTATTACGATTCTTATCTAGCAAGATCCGTATATGCTAAGACCCATTTTGACGGATGAGCAAATTGACCTCTGGAGATTTTTGCAATGTGTCCAGTGTCAGACAGCTTGTGAATCTCCTTGTTGCGCCCCTCCTGGCCATGTATACTTCTGCTTATAACTACCTTCTATTCACAAGGTCTCTGCAAAGTCTTCAGTGTGGTCCTCATAAACAACTAGGATTTCCTCCCTTCCTATGAAAGCCCAGCTTGAGCTCTCATCATTGCTGAAGTGAAGCCCTCCCTCTATTAGCAAGGCAAATTGAACGGGGTAGGGATGGGGGAGAACAGAGCTCTTAAAAGAAGATCAGGGTTCAGTGACTCAAGGCTTGAACTCATTTGTAATCTCTCTAACCTCAGCTACACATTAGAATCAGATTCCCCAACCCCAACCCAGACCAACTCTATCAGTATCTCTGAATCCAGGTGTCTGTATTTTTAGAAGCTTGTCAGATGATTCTAATGTGCATTCACAGCGGGGATCCACTCCTCTGATCACGTTTCCACGTGGCTGCCCCAGCTTCCCTTAGTACTCACATGCCCTTTTGGGTAATTTAGTTTGGGGAGTTCCCCTTCCTCATCCGGAAAATGAGGAGGATACATTGGATGCATGATTTCTAACTTGGGATGCTTTGTTCCTTGACATCCACAAAGGGAATTATGAGATCACCGAGTGCCTTTCAATATTGCAAAATGTCTAGTAGAAATCACACACTCATGTTAAGGCTGCACACATTGATGAAGATGTTACATTTCTTTGCTTTTACCTGCAATTATATTTCCTCAATGTAGTGCTTCCAGTTTCAAAATATGGGGTTTGGGGAGAGAGGGAAGAATGTCCCTGGTGATTACAAATGGAGAGAGAGAGAGAGAGAGAGAGGAAAGAGAGAAAGAGAAAGAGAGAGAGAGGGGGAGGGAGGTAGGGAGGGAGGGGAAGAGAGAGAGAAAGAGAAAGAAAGAAAAAGGAAGGAAGGAAGGGAAAGAGACAAAGAGCGAGTGAGTTGGGCCTCATCGTAATGATTTCACAGTTCCTTCTAATTCAGCATTCTGTGGTTTGATGATAACCCAGGGAAGAGAAAAATGACTTCTGAGGAAGCAAATATACTCTTTGAACACCCTTCTTGTAAAGAGAATTACATTCTAACATAATACATTTTAGTCCCCCTTCTTTGTGGAATGTTCTAATTAATACCTGGAAGTCAACACACCCGAAAAAAAAAAATAGGTCCTAAATTCAGGGACCTCAACCCAGGAGGCCTGGTTTACTTTAATGAGCCCACCAGTTTGACAGCCACAATTGGGGAAGAGGACGGGAACAAGGACAGTGTTGTCAGGATACACATCAGCGGACAGTGACAAAAAATAAAACATTTTGTTACATGATAGATAAGTGCTTCCTGACAATCTGCCTGCTTTTATCTCTTTAGAGCCTCCCTCCTGCTCTACTCTCACCCAGCTGTTAAATTATTCTAGCCAACGCCACCATTTCACCAGTAAACATTTTCCTTGCCTGAAACTAGGAGGAATTTCATCAAGGAAGCAGACGCTGTGTTCGTTAAGCTGATTTTTGTCTTTGCTGTGTCTCCAAGGGAAATGCCCCCTTGAGTTTCCTTCTTGCATATGCAGGCAGAGCTGGTGACCATTGCTAGGCAACGTGTCATCATACATATTTCATCAGTGAAAGAAAGTCTATCTCAGAGAAGCCATCCTTCATCTATTCTAGGGCTTCCATTCTCCTTTATAAAAAGAATAGGAAAAAGGAATAGAAAGCCACCACCTCTATGTTCCCTGGCACCCGCGAGGAGGAATCAATGACAAAAGAATCAAGTGGAAAACTTAAAACCTAGGCAATAGCAATAGTTAATTTAGAAAACGTAATGGGGGGGTGGAAATTCCATTCATAATATTGTCTTAGCCAGCTTGGGCTGCTATAATAAAATACTGTAGACTGGATGGCTTAAAGAATAGACATTATTTCTCACTGTTCTGGAGACTACGAAGTCCAAGATCACGGAGCCAACAGATTCAGTTATTGGTGAGGGCCTTCCTCCTGGCTTGCAGACAACTACCTTCTTGCTATGTATTCTCACACAAGTGGAAAGAGGAATCTCCGATATATTTTCCTTTTCTTATAAGAACACTAATCCCATCAAGGTGGCCCCACCCTCATGACCTCATATACCATCCAAAGGTCCCACCTAGTACCATCACCCTGGGAATTAGGGCTTCAATATGTGAATTTTGAGAGGATACAAACACCATGCCATAACAAATATCAACCCAAACTTTCAAATGATGCTTACCAAAATTTTGCGTTGGCATATTAATATGAAGAGAATAAATAATTCAATGGTGTTGAAGGCACTATAAATACAACTTTAAAAAACAATAAGGCTGGGTGCGGTGGCTCATGCCTGTAATCCCAGCACTTTGGGAGGCTGAGGCAGGTGGATCATGAGGTCAGGAGTTCAAGACCAGCCTGGCCAACATGGTGAAACCATGTCTCTGCTAAAAATCCAAAAAAATTAGCCAAGCGTGGTGGCAGGCACCTGTAATCCCAGCTACTCGGGAGGCTGAGGCAGAGAATTGCTTGAACCCGGGAGGCGGAGGTTGCAGTGAGCTGAGGTTGCGCCACTGCACTCCAGCCTGCATGACAGAGCGAGACTCCATCTCAAAAAAGAAAACAAACAAAAAAAACAAACAAACAACAAAAAAAAAAACAATAAATACCTAAACAGAGGGGTGACAAAAATCTGGAACCATAACCAGAATATGAAGACTGGTTTTCTTAGGCAGTTAGCACTATGGATGTGATAGACAGAATTCTAAGGTGACTCCCATGATTCCCACCACCTGGTGTATGTTCCCTGTAAATTCCCCTTCTCTCGAGGGTGGGCAGGGCTTGTAAATGTGACGGGATATCACTCTATGCTTATGTTATATTATATGGCAAAAGGGATTTTTGGACATGTAATTAAGACCTGTAATCAGCTGAGTTAATCAAAAGGAAGATTACCCTGGGCAGATCGGACCTACTCAGGTGAGCGCCTAGAAGGGGTCTAGCAATGGGAGATGAAAGAAATCAGAGAGCTCCTGTGAGCCTGGAGTAAAGCATGAGCCAGACTGAGCAGAGGATTCAGCTAAGCTGCACCCAGACTCCTGAACACAGAAATGGAGATAGCCAATGTGTATTGTCTTAAGCTAACAGTTTTTAAAATTTTGTTTTGGTTTGTTCTTTTGAGGCAGGGTCTCACTCTGCTGGCCAGGCTGGAGTGCAGTGGCATGAACATGGGTCACCACAGCCTCAACTTTCTGGTCTCATGTGATCCTCCTGCCACAGCCTCCCAAGTAGCTGGAACCACAGGTGCACACCACCAGGCCCGGCTAATTTTTTTTTTTTTCTTTATTTTTTACAGAGGTTGAGGTTTCACCATGTTGCTCAGGCCAGTCTCGAACTCCTGGGCTCAAGCAATCTTCCTGCCTCAGCCTCCCAAAGTGCTGGGATTACAGGTGTGAGCCAGCACACTTGGCCTATTTTAAGCTAAGTCTGGGGTAATTTGTTACATAGCAATAGAAAATGAATATAGTGAGTGACTGTTGTGTTTTCTGTTTTCCATTTTTTGAAATTCCCATGTATTACTTTCATAACAAACAAACTGAAGACAAAGTTGAAAACTCCATTTGGAATACAGGATTTTTTTAAAGTACATCATTGTTGGCATCCTGAGGCAAAGGGAGCTTCTCAGAGTTTCCTGACACTTGGGCCACATTCACAAACTTCCTTTCTCACCATCAATAAGTAAAACAGGTTTATCATGACACTAATTCAGAACCTATTTTAAAAGGACTGTGCCCGTATGTTTATTGCGGCACTGTTCACAATAGCAAAGACTTGGAACCAACCCAAATTCCCATCAATGATAGACTGGATAAAGAAAATGTGGCACATGTACACCATGGAATACTATGCAGCCATAAAAAAGGATGAGTTCATGTCCTTTGCAGAGACAGGGATGAAGCTGGAAACCGTCATTCTCAGCAAACCAACACAAAAACAGAAAACCAAACACCACATGTCCTCACTCATAAGTGGGAGCTGAACAATGAGAACACATGGACACAGGGAGGGGAACATCACACACAGGGGCCTGTCAGGGGGTGGGGGGCTAGGGGAGGGATGGCATTAGGAGAAATACCTAATGTAGATGACAAGTTGATGGGTGCAGCAAACCACCATGGCACATGTATACCTATGTAACAAACCTGCATGTTCTGCACATGTATCCCAGAACTTAAAGTATAACAATAATAATCAAAAAATACTAATAGCAATACAGTGAGCCATTGGTATGGTTAGGTAACCATATCAATATGGCATTAAATGTAAATGGACTAAGAACTCAAATTAAAAAGCAGAAATTATCAGCCTACATCACAAAAGCAATATATAATTTTATGCTGTTTACAGGAATATGTTTTATATATAAGCAATTGGATTAAAAGTAAAAGAATGAGAATATTTACCAGGAAAATCGTATCACCTTGCTAGACCCAGAAAAAAACGTGACAAAGTTCAGCACCCATTCATGATAAAAACTCACAAAACTAGAAATAGAATGAAACCTTCTCAACCTTGAAAAGTGATCTATGAAAAGTTTACAGTTAGTATCATGGAAATCATGCAAGAATGAATGCTTTCTCCTAAGGTTAGAAACAAAGCCACGACGTTTTGCTTCAAACATTTATCTTGTATTGGAAATCCTAGCCAGCACACTATATGAAAAAAATATTCAGTAAAAATTGAAAAGAAAGCAATAAAACTATTTCCCACAGTATGCTTATGTAAAGGTCATAGCATTTGAGATCAATGTACAAAATCTAATTGTGTTCCAATAAAAATATATATAAAATTAAAAAAGGAGTGTGCCTTATAATGTACCTTATTCCAGAAATAAACAGAGATCAGACTTGGGTGTCTATGAAAAATTGTTAGAAAAGCACATGGGGATGTATACAAATAAGTGTCCATCACTGTCTCGCTTATAAAGATAAAATTCAGAACACGTATGAGCACTAGTAATTGCAGATTGATTAAAGTATGGTCCATTCATTCAACGGAATACCATGCACCCATTTTAAACATTACATAGCTGTGTATTTATTAATATAGAAAGATGTGCATGATATAATGTTATGTATTAAAAAAAAACAGGTTACAAGAACTCATAACAGCATGGGCCAGGCGCAGTGGCTCACGCCCATAATCCCAGCACTTTGGGAGGCCAAGGCAGGTGGATTGCCTGAGCTCAAGAGTTCGAGACCAGCCTGGGCAACACGGTGAAACCCTGTCTCTACTAAAATACAAAAATTTAGCCAGGTGTGGTGGCACGCGCCTGTAATCCCAGCTACTCAGGAGGCTGAGGTAGAATTGCTTGAACCTGGGAGGCGGAAGTTGCAGTGAGCCAAGATCACACCACTGCACTCCAGCCTGGGTAACAGAGTGAGACTCCATCTCCAAAAAAAAAAAGAACTTATAACAGCATGATCTCAATTTTTTAAAAAAAGATACATAGGGATAGATATATAGATATATAGGGATATATAAACCAGGATCTAGAGAAGGAAAGAAAGAAAAGTTGCTTGTAAGGGTGTACATCAAGGGGATAATAATGGTTACATCTAGTGGTTGTTTTATGGTCCTTTTCTTTTTGTTTATTTAGACTTTCTAATTTTTTCAATAAAAATAGATTAATTATGTAACTTTTCAGATACAAAGAAAAAATTAACTATCTAATAAATTAAAGACACAGAAACATGCGTGAGGCTGCTCATTAAAAGATTTCAGTTTCTACTTAGTAGTCAATAGCGGTTGATGTTCCTCAAGTTTTATTAACTAGTGGCAATATTCCTACTTGCCCTCATATTTATGGCAATGGTTCTATTTATTGATCCTTTTTTTTTTTTTTTTTTTTTTTTCAGATGGAGTCTTGCTCTGTCACCAGGCTGGAGTGCAGTGGTGCCATCTCAGCTCATTGCAACTTCCACCTCCCAGGTTCAAGCGATTCTGTCCTTCAGCCTCCCGAGTAGCTGGGACCACAGGCCTGCGCCACCACACCCAGTTAATTTTTGTATTTTTAGTAGACATGGGGTTTCACCATGTTGGCCAGGATGGTCTCAATCTCTTGACCTCATGATCTGCCTGCCTCGGCCTGCCAAATATTGATTCATTTTAATAGAGGACTGGTCTCTAGAATAGTCTCATAAATACGTTTTTCTTAGCACTAATGACATATTTTCCAGATACAAATTACAGGGACCAGTTCTCAATCACTGTGTTGTTATCACAAAACATGTAGAAAGCACCGAGAATTCCATCTCCATCATATGTATTGATGCTTTCATTATGAGGTACCCAGCAGAAGACATTCCAACTGAGAAAATGAACCCTTTCCATCACCTGCCCCTCACCTTACACCGACATCTAAGTGATGAGCTCACTCTTCAGGTTCGGAGTCTTCCTGCTGTGTTCAAAGTCATGGGAACAAAAGGCATTTAAAGTCCTAAAATCACTGGCGATGTTGACCAATGAGACATCTTCCTGGTGAGGTGAATGCTTGGCTGGAAGAGCACGTCTGTGTACATGAGAGAGTAGAAAGACCCCTGCCACAGGGAAGCTGTAAGTGAGGGCTCTGCCACCAGCTGGAGAGCCTAGTCCAGTGGTTCTTAACTGGAGATGATTTAGGCCCCCAGGAGACATTTGGCAATGTCTAAGGATATTTTGATTGTCACATGGGTGGGGGCTGTGTTTTTGGCGTCTAATGGGTAGAGGCCATAGATGTTGCTAAATGTTCTAAATTCACAAGACCACTCCTCACAACAAAGAACTTTCCAGCCCAAAATTTCAGTGGTGTCCTGCTTAAGAAACCCTGGTCTGGAGTGTCAGAGAGATACAAAGCTGGTGGTATCAAGGGCCTGACCAGGTGAGAGCAGAGCTCTCTTACAAGCTAAAACCGCCCCAAAACAGAGCAACAGCCAAAGTTAGACCCAATTCCACCTGATACTGAATAACCGGAAGTAGACTGATCCTACTCACGCAACTAGAAAACCAGACAAATATATCAAAAACAACACTATTGTCATCCGACAGCTAAGGACTGTCATCCCCGAGAGAAAGAAACAACTGAGGTTAGCCCTACGGTTGCTCAGGTTACTGCTGGAGGCATTTTCTAGGCTGCAGCACAGGAAAGGGACACCCAAGTAGAGTCAGGAAGTCTCCCTGAGGTGAGGAGATGGAGCAGAGGATCCAGTGAGGGCAGGGCTGCTGGAATTATGGGGAGGCAGCACAAGTCTATGCAGAAAGCGTCCTGAGCCCAGCTGAGTACTGATCTACACATGCTTAAGGGGAAACCACCTGGGACTGGAAAAAGAACCATCAGAAAGGAATACACAGAACAATTCCAGGGCTCACACATGGCTGGGTATGGTTTGTGTTCCCACTAGCCAAGGTGGAAGAGCTTTTAATGCACGTGATAATGGGTAAAATCCTCAGAAATGCATGGACTTAATAGTGGGGGCAAATTGGCCCTAGAATAAAGGCTGCCCTGAGCCAGACCTAACAAAATGTAAAAGCAAGCCCCAAAGGACTAAGAAGATTCCAAAGAATTTAACTGCATGCCAAAACAAAATTCAATACTTTCTGAAGGAATACAACAAAATCTAGCCATCAAGAACATAAAAATCACAATATCCAGCATCTAATAAAAACTTACCAGACAGCCCAGGTGTGGTGGTGCATGCCTGTAGTCCCAGCTACTTGGAAGGCTGAGATAGGAAGATCGCGCGAGCCCATAGGTTGAGGCTGCAGTGAGCTGTGAACCCACCACTGCACTCCAGGCTGGGTGACAGACCAAGACCCTGTCAAAACAAACAAACAAACAACAACAAAAAATACCAGATATGCAAAGAAATTTACCAGATATGCAAAGGAAAATATGACCTATAGCCATAGGAAAAAAATCAATCAAGAAAGAAAGACCTGGAAATCATAGAGATTATGGAAATAAGAGACAAGGACACTAAAATAACTTTTACTGTCATGTTCTATATATTCAAGAAGATAAACATGACCAAGATGAGGAAAGAAAAGGAAGACATAAAATATTGAGAGTGCTGATTTATTTCTTCATCTCAGCACTTAGGAACATGGTGTTGTGCTAGGCTCCGGGACAGCAGAGATGAGTAAGCCACAGCCCCTGCTCTTCTGCAGCTTATTTAGTAGAAAAGGCAGATGTTGAAACCATTAAATATGATAGGATGTGATAAATGCCATTGTAGTTTTGGGCAAAGTGTTGGAGGAACACAGCAAAGTGGAGTGTAACCATATATGGTAGGCAGTAGGGGGTAAGATGAGGGTCCTTTATCCTTAAGACAAATAGTAATAGCCACATTTATGCAATAGCAAAAATAATTTGCCAAATATTTATTGTGTCCCAAGAACCATAAGAAGCTTAGGGAAGAAACGAAGAAATAAAAACAGAAATGAACCCCTCCTCTTCTAAACACAGTATTTACTGACCACTGAAAATCATCCTGTCTTCACAACAACTCTGCAGGCGCACTCTGGTGGATCACATTAATGTTCCCCAATTTTTAACTGCCTTCTGTATCCATTCCTTTTGACTTGTACCTGAAGTTCTTTCCATCAAAGGATCAGAACTGATTTTCCTGCCCCACCACTTTCTGTTTGGCCACATGACTTGCTTTGGCCAATGGAAATGTTACCAGATGTGATATGACCAGAGACTTGAAAAATGCATGTGCATGTGGGCTTATTTTCCCGCATATGTGCCGGTAGCATGAGGAGAATATGCCTGAAACCAGGAAGACGATGAGAGACAAATGGCACAGAAGCATTACAACAACCCACAGACCTGCAGTAAGAAGCAGTTCACTGAATAGAGCCCAGTCTACATCAGACGAACCCCAGCCAGCCCACAGATGTATACGCCAACAAATGCCTATTGTTGCATGCCACTTTTATTTTGTGCTTGCTTGTTAGGCAGCAATATCTGACTGACATGCATCATCAGATGAAGGATGAAAGTTAGGTGACACAGCTAGAGTGATATTCCTAGTAAACAGTAGAACTGGGATTTGAATTTACATCTGCCTGACTCCAGAGCCAGCATTTTAACAGATTGCTGCTTCCCAGAAACCTCACTCCTGGGAATTTTCCTGAAGGCAATGATTCCTAAAAAGGTTATCTGCACATATATATTTACTGAAGTTTTGCTTATAACATTAAGAAAAATGAAAACACCCTAAAGTCTGCAAAGTAAAAGAAGCAGTTAAGCAAAGTATAATCTACCATCTTGAAGAAATGGCTTGTACTTATTAAAATGAAAATTATGAAAAATATGTAGCATTAGAGATCTATATTCTAATGTTAATCTTGGAAACCAAAATCTATTTTGTAGGTCAACTAAAAGTAAAATCGTGCGCATAAATATGCAGATTTGTGTATGTGTTTGCATACATATATGCAAATAGACAAGGGCAGAAAAGCAGTTTATAAAATGAAATCAATTTCAGAGAGTCGCGGGATTAGAAGCGATGTATTTTAGTCTTTAAATTTTCCATTAGAGTTGTTATAATAAAAACAGTGATTAAACTGACACACACATAGGTTTGATGTCACTCCTAATCCACTCAAAGGACTTACACAGCCACCCACTGCCAGGCTTCCAGCAATCTGGGTGTCACCGAGATTTTTCTCCCCAATCCTGTTAGCAATGGGCTTCAGAGTGCACCTTTACCATTACAAACCCCAACTACAGGCTTCTGAGGCTTACACTTGGCCTTAGGGAAGAAAGAGAAAAGGCCCTCAATCCCAAGAGGTCTTGCATTTGGCAGCCAGGACAGATTTTTCAGTTAATAAGGTCTTTCAAGTCAAAGTTGGAGCCAATTATTATCCCTCATGGTCAACCTGGTTAGAGGACAAGGAAGGGATGTGAATGTGCGGGGCATTTGCCTCCTCCCTCCTGCCTTTCCAGAATTCAGAGATAACTTGTACAAGAGCGCTTATGGGTGCCAGGGCTCTCCGCTGGACACGTGACACACAATATCCCATTTAATCTACAAGAGGAAGAGAAAGTCCTGAGAGAGACTCACATGGTAACAAATATCCATTGGCCAAAGAACCAAGCACACTTAAAAATCAACACAAAGTTAGTCATGTGGATGAAGATTCATATTTCTCTTTACTGTCTCTTAACCACCAGTAGGTAGTAAATAGATCTGGAGTCTGAGAGATTCAAGTTCAGATCTTGACTTTGCACTTCTTTGCTGTATGTTTTTCAGCCACTTTCTTAATAATCTGCAAGCATGTTTCTTCATTTGTAAAACGGAGATTAGAATAATAACAAAACATGCCCTTCCAACCTTCCAGAGAGGTTTCAAGGATAAAATGGTGTATGTGTAGGCACTGTGCCAATATCTGTGGCTATTTTGAGAGATTCTTGCAGTCATGATTTACCAAATTGAGTCTCTCAAGGTATGATAACTGTTCATACACTGGAAGGTCAAATGTGGGAGGAGCTTAAATTCCATCTGTGTACCTTCCCTACAGCTTTCATGTTAGGCGTTGATGATGGGAAAAGAATTTGAAAGGATCTGCTAGCTGCCTGCCCTCTTGTCTTTTCTAATCCCACTTCAAGGTACCATGAGTGTCAGAGCAAATACTGCCTCCTCCCTTTAGAATGTTAGCAGTACAAGCCAAGTATGCTAAAAAATGCTTGATAAGGCACAGTACACTTAGACTTACCTCCTAGATTATTCCCTATTTTATCACATTAATTATGTGTTTATTCTCTACAGAGCCTCCCTTTTTCCCTTGTATTAGTTTCAGTATTCACTCAACAACTGGGCCATATCTTGGGCTAGCACTGGTGCTACAGGTCATGGGAGGCAGGGACTCTGCCCTTCTGAATATGATGACCTAGTAAATGTGAAAACTACCTAAATAATTAAATACAGCATAAGATGTGCCATCTCAGAAGCAAGTCAGGCTTCTATGGGTTGGAAGAGTGTAGCCCAGAGAGAACAGCAGGGGCACAGGTTGACAGGAGTGAGAAAATGAAAGCTTTTTAAAAGAAGATATCAGGATTTCTTAAACCAGGCAATTTGATTAAAAAAAATTATTTGGATTGTAAGTGGCCCATAAATTAAACAATACCAATTTATGGGGTTTTGCTTTTGTTTTAATTGAGTATGTTGCCTTTTTATCCATTTTTGGAATGCTCTAAGGTTTCAGTTGCTAGGACCTGGATCCCACATTGAGATCTCAAGAGTGAAATCTCAGCGCGTGGCTTCCGTGTCTCCACCCTGCTGTCTTGTCATTCTGCTCATGTGAGAATGGACCACGTGCTGCAGCTGCTAGGTGCAGGATGTGAGCGGGGAAAGCCGCAGAAGAGGGGGCTTAGAAGAGTTAGCTAGGGCCCGACCTGGAGGGTCAGAAGGAAGGCTTTGGATTATATCCCTCAGCTAATAGGGATCCAGAGAACTGTAAGCAGGACGGTGACCACAACAGCTGTGCCCCAGCCCTCAGAGATGTAACCTAAGGGAATGCTTCCCACAGGAAACATACCGTGGCAGTTATCGGAGCTGAGAGTTGAGAGAACGGGATCCTAGCAAATGACTTGGCACCTATGCAATCTCTGCAGCAATGTCCCCATCACATGTCAGAATAAAAACATTCGCCTGGTTCAGTGCCCCTAAAATCTCCCACTAGAAGGAGCACCTTGGAGAGTGAGTGCGTCAAGGGAGCTGAAGAAGAAGAGCATCCCCTAAAGGCAAAAAGAAGATGCAGTGATAAGCAGGGTGAGATTTGGAAAAGGGCAATGGAAAACCAGCGGAGAGATAGCCCAAAAATGGGTGGGCTCTCCACCAGGGCCCCAAGAGCAAGGAGATGGAAGGAAAAACTTCAGTAGCTCATTTTCTGACAGAACATGCCTAACTCCCCAAGATATCTGAAAGTCAAGATAAGAAACCAGCATATTTGAGACCTATACAGGAACTTCTGCCGCAAATACACTGTGTTCAAGACGGCTTTAGCAACGAACCACCAGGTAAACTAAAACGAGGTGGGCCACAGCTTCCATTGGTCTCTGTGCCCAGGTGGTTTTGGATCCCTTGGAGCAGCGCTAATGGACACCAAGAGTAGGAATTATAGGAGTCTAGATTGGTAGGTGTGACAAACTAAAGTATAATACTCTTGCATACTGAAAAATCCACAGATACAAAATTAAAAGGCAAATTTAGAGAAGAAGAGCTTTATGCACAAAGCTGTGTTTAATCATTTTATTTATTTTCCTGAAAAATTTAAGACAACCTAATAATCCTACAATCGGCTTTTAAAAGGTAGTTATGAAGACTGGTAAATGTGGAAAGTGCTCGCAAATGCATAACTAAGGAATAGAAACAGAACATGACATTTGGAATATACAGTATAATTTTATCCAAATAGCAATAAAAACGCTATGCATGAAGAATCTAGAAAGAAATTTTAAAATATTTGTTCCTTCTTATTCCTTGGGTAAATGCTATTAACCAGAAGCTGATGGAAATGTTTTTGGACAAAATCCATCTGTTTGAGATTCATCTTGCTTTTGGAGTCTGATCTCTCATCTCAGTTTGGGAAAAGCCATCTATGAAAATACATATTTTTTTTTTAGCCAGAGTGACACTAATCTTTTTTTTTTCCTTTTGGGGGCCAATAATAGATGCAGCTACTAGAGCTACCACCAGGAATCCCCACATGACATGGGCTCTGGCCGGCTGTTTCTTTCTCCTCTCTGGTACCTGCCATGGCCCCCGTGCTCTGCTCTGTGAAGGGAGGAGTGGGGAATGGGAGGGTGGAGAAGGTGGCATTGCATGCAGAAGGCTTCCCCTGCATTTGCGGGTGGGATTCAGAGTAGAACTGTTCAGCTGTTTGGCCCTATGAGGATCTAGCACAAAGCAAGCCCTCCATAAATGCTAGTTAAACTGTATTAGAAGCATAAACAAAGTATAAGTTTAACCAGGCTCCTGGTACAAACCAAATAAATGTACACAGAAGCCAGAGTTTATTTCAAGGGCCAAGGAAGAAAAAAACACTCTATTAGACTCTTTTGTGTCTTTCTGGAGGGAAAAAGTTGTCAGTTTTGCAAATGATTACAGCCCTTGACTAATTCTTCCATCGTATGCTCTGTCTGGCATGAGGAACTCACTTTGAGGTGGAGAATTGGAGGGTGAGCATAGATGAATGTGCCCCAGCACTGGGGGACTGCCAGCATGAGCAGCAGAGGCTTCCTAAAGGTCTCTGTGCCCATGTGGAGCAGGTGGTAGGGACAAACTGCTGTGTACCAAGAGGGGAGACTGAAGAATAGCAGAAACAAAGTTCCCAATGGAGTTAGAAATATGAGTGGACACAAACCTCTATGATTTTCTGCTGAGGCCCCTACTATAAAAGACTGCTTGCCACCTGCTTCTGGAAAAACAGACTTCTGGGTGCATTAACGTTATTTACAACTAGGCTGCTTCCACCTAGGCAAGCACTGATGCAGGCAGTGGGTGTATGGGAATTGTAAAGGCAAATGCAGAATAGCCCTGCTCTTAAGAAGCTTCCAGTCTGTAAAGGCAAATGCAGAATAGCCCTGCTCTTAAGAAGCTTCCAGTCTGCAAAGGCATCTTGGTCCTCCTGGGTATACAGAGACCTGAATTCAAATCTCAGCTGGGGCTCTGGACAACCACATAACCTTAAGTAAGTCTCAACTCCTACCCTGACCTCTTTGCACTATCCATAAAGTTGAGGTGATGTATTTAGGAATTCCCACTCCTCTGACCCGCTATTGGCATCCATCAGCAGAGTGCCTTTGCAATCTGAAAACTTCCTCCAGTATCACTAAGAACCAGGAGGATAGCCTCTCAACTTCCCACCGAGCATGTCAGCATCTCCACTGTGGCACCAAGGGAAAGGAAAGCCCTGGGCTCGGAGGGCTCCCTGAACCACAGCGTGACTGTTGCCCCATGTGTACGGTAATTCCAACAAGGGCTAAGTGGCTAGCAAATTTGGAAGGGCAGGGTTTGTGATTAGCTCTCCTCCCAGTATCCCCCATATAGCTCTCTATTGCATATGCAGCAAGTCTGAACCCAGTTCATAAAACACAGGTTTGCACACGATGAATCTTTATTTTACTACAACTCAAATTCTATTTGAAGCCCATTCTGCTTGAAGGCAGAAAATGCAATCTTAGCCAATACTGGGAAATCTTTGCACTTCAGGTTTAAACACAGACAGTTCAGAATTTCCCCTGTCCCCTCCCTTTTCCCAGGAGTAACATCAGAGTTCAGGGAGCCCCATGCAGGATCATTAGTTCCAGGTAGGCAAAAAGAAAGAGCTCATATTCCCCAGTCCTTGTTTCTCGATGCAGAAATATCTGTCGAGTAGTACTCCAGGTCCTTTTCCTCATGCCTCCATGACTTATCTAAAAGGAGCCAGGTTTATTTTTCTGTGTTTCCCTCTCTTTAAGATCTGTCTACAGAAAGCACCCACTCCCCTCTGCCCCTGCCAAAGAAGGGCTGCAGCTGGCTTGCACTTCTATGAATACGTTAGTCCATGGAACCCTGGCGTGCTGTACCTATTAGTAGGTCCACTGTTTCCACTGAACTCAGCCACATCCTCCCATCTCACCTTTCTCCCTTATAAAGGTGGTGCTTGGATTTAAGACAGCCCAACTTCTCTATCTCTCAATTATTTCTGAACTTAGGTTATAGACAGGGATGTTATCTATGAGCCCCCTCCAATCCTTATGAGTAGTGTCTGCCCAAGTAGGCATCTGCTGATGTGTCTGTATTTCTCTCTGCTCCCCAGAGCAGGGACTCAGCCAGCGTGAGCTGATGCAAACCCCATCATGTCTATGAGCTCGCCAGTGCCTGTTCTCTCTGATGACTCCCCTCTTGAGCACACGGGAACATGTGTATTCCTTCCCACACCCCTCTGACAACTCTCAGGCCTCCCTGACCCTGACAGCCCACTTTTCTTTATCACCCCCATGCCATGATGGTGCAAGGAAGTTGACCGCTGGGCTTCTCTGTACTCTCAGATCCCCAAATTCCTCTGAGAATTACATTGTTTCAGAGACCCAGACTCTATTAGTTTCCTAGGGCTGCTGTAACCAATTGCCTCCAACAGGGTGACCATAGCAACAGAAATTTATCCAGTTCTGGAGGCTCAAAGTCTGAAATCAAGGTATCAGCAGGACCACGTGCTCTCTGAGCATGCAAGAAGGGGATCTTTGCTCGCTGCTTCTAGCTTCTGGTGCTGGTGGCAATTCTTGGGGTTTTTAGACTTAGGAAAATATCATTTCAATCTTTGCTTTTGTCTTCATACAGCCTTTTCCCTGTATCTGTGTCTCTGTGTCCAAGCCTACTCTTCTTATAGGAACGCCAATCATTGGGTTAGGGTCCACCCTAATCCAGCACGGCCTCATCTTAACTTGGTTCCATCAGGAAGACCCCATTTCTAAATAAGGTCACAATCACTTGTACTAGGGGTTAGGATGTCAACATATCTTTTTGGGAGACAGTTCAACTCATAACACAGTCCCATCCTTGAAGTATATCTTAGAATTACAACACCTCTCCTTCCTTCCTTCTCTCTCTCTCTCTCACACACACACACTCACTCACACTCACACCTCATTTCCAACTCTTCTTTCTCTTGCAACTCAAAGATATTTTCAACTCCCAGGTGGGGAAAATACTATCTGTTGTAGTTATTCTACCAAATCTTCTTCCCTTAGGTGTGGACAGCAGTTTTTCATTTGTTTGTTTTATTTTAAAAGCCAGGAACTTGGTGCCTTTGTCTTCTGACTTCTGGGCCACCCCTTCCTTGAGGCCACAGGTTCCTCCTGTCTCATGGCAGGAATGGGAAGAAGGTTCCAGGGAAAAGGGCATGGGAGGAACCACATATTTCTCAATATCATCCTGGAACACAGATCTTTCGTTCAGAATATTTTCTGAGTCTTTCTTGATTTTCACCAGTTTTTCAGCCTTCTGCCACCACTGGGATCTTTTGGCTCTGAAAATTCTCATGAGGAGAGAGGATAAAAGACGAGAGGCCACATTTGCAGAAGTGACCCTCCTGCCACTTGTAAAGGCTTTGCAGGCTGTTAGTGAGAAAGCGGGAGCTTGTACACCTTCATCCAGAGATCTGAGTGTCCACTAATGGTGTGGCCGGAAAGGAGAGAAGAGCCAGTCCGACAAAAGACTGTCCCCAGTGGAGCCAGACAGCCTGTTTTAGAGGTTTATTTTGAAATGTTTGGCCCATGTCACCAAGGCTCCTTTAAAATATAGATACCAATAGAAACCACACAAATCTTCATGGTAGTTATATCAACATTTTTCCAGCATTTCCAAATGCAAGTCCTCTTTTAACAAATATAAAAATTTCATGGCCTTCTTTCGAGTTATTTGGAATTTCAAAGTAAATAAGAAATCATGCTGACCAACAGCAGAGTAATATTATTCGGACGATTTCTTCAATCTGCACCTCTCTCCCCTACGCCCTGGGGATTCTAATCTTTCCCACTAGGAGGTGAGAGCAGTGCCTCTCTTCTGCCTACTGATAAGCACCAATTTGGGGCTTTAAAATCCTGATCATCCCCTTAGATTTAGAAAACAAGGTCCTGGGAGAATTTGGTCCTGGACAGTTACAGGGGTTTTCAGTGAAGGAACAGTGGACCAAATGGGAGGAGTCTTTGCAGGGAAGAGCAAATCTTGCAAAGCTACCATAGCAGAGACATCAGGGCTGTATGAAAACGCCCTGGGTCTTGGGAAGGCCTTGGGGAAGTAGGGGCAGGGGGTGGACAGGGAGAGTGGAGAAAACACTGGACAAGATGTCAAAAGACCCTGGTTCGAGCCCTGCTGCTTACAAGTCATGTGACTATAGTCAAATCCCTCAACAAAACTGTTGTCTTAGGTAGTACAAGGCTGAACACTCAGAATTCACATGGGAACTAGGGGAGATAATTCCATATGAAGTTGTTCACCCAGTGCTAATTTCCTACTCACCGCCTTCCTCATTCAGATGAGCCTGTTAATAACAATCCAGTCACTGGCAGGAAGTGGAAGCCAGGCTGAATCCAGTTTAGAAATGGTCTAGTTCCCATGTCATTTCAGCACTAACCTTTTCTCTAGACATGGCCCACCAACTCGGAGGCAGGCTTGTTGTCCCAAGGCCACTACCACCATCACACGCTGGTGGCTTCGGACACCCCTGTTCACGAACCCTTGTGTAATGCCCAGAGTTAGATTCTGATGACAAGGGCCATTGCAGGCTGAAGTGGCAGACGCTTTGCCATCAAATACCAGCCTGAATGCGCTTTAGCTTCCGAGGTTCACACTGATGCTGGGAGATATTCTAAGCTCTCTACCCAGACAATGACAGATTGCTGCCTGCATATATTTTCTCCTCTTTTGGCAAAGTAAACGGAGTAAGTTCATTCAAAAGGAGAGAAAGGGGTGTTCTCTTGGGATGCTCAATCCGAATATAGTTCTGAGGGTTAAGGAAGGAGTTAATTCTGCTGTTAACCTTTAGAAGCAGGAAAAAAAAAATAGATGGGAAATAAGGTTGAGGTCTCCAGTTAGTATTTTTTTCTTTTTCAGAAATTCTGTCAGATTTAATTAAATCATCGCAAGTGCCTTTTAAAGGGCTCTGTGTGGTTGTCCTGCATGGTTGGAGGAACTTGATCCAAGAGGCAGGGAGAGCTTTGGTATCATGCCAACTTCTGTTCTTTCCCAGGCAAAAAACACAAGTCAGCCCAAAACACAAGTCAGCCCAGTAGTACTCATCATTATGTGGACCCAGAAGGCCATCAAACACAGAGCTGGCGACGGGTCCTGAGGCTCGGCAAAGTGTAGGAATTTTGCCAGAAAGTCCAATACGCACATCTTTCTCCCCTGAACTGGCCTAGCCTGTCTGCCGTGCTGTGTCTGTGCTGCATTTACTGAGTTCCTAAGCTACAGCTTCCCTGTCCTCTTTATTCTCCTGCAGCACCAGGGAAACAAAAAACAGGGCTGAAATTCCATTCTCTCGTTTAATAGACAGCCATTGAAAAAGAAGGCTCTATAGGTAAAAATATCATATTTAATATACATTATAATCTATGAAATAATACAGGTAAAAAATGATCATAGCAAACATGGATGAGCCTGGCAGTGTTCTAAGCACTTTGTTTTCAAAATATAAAACAAAACAAAAACTAAATGCAAAACTACGTGTGTCATCAATTGTGCTATCCGCCAGACCACCCTGGATCTCCCCATTCTGAGCACATGGTTGGATTGGACATCTTGTTCCCACTGTGGTTGGGAGGGGCCATGTGACTTATTCTGGCCAATGAGTTTTGAGCAGAAGTGAAGCATGTCATTTGCAGGCTAGAGTATTTATTGCTGCTCAGGACCCTCCAGTTGTCTCTTTTCCTCTGGCATAGTGACTGGCAATTTGGAGAATCAGTGTATCCTACCAACTTACAATGGTCATGTGGTACGAATGGGAAATAAACCATGTTTATTTTTAATTTGAGTCACTATTGTTTGGTTTATTCATTAGTGAAGACTAGTCTAGTCTCTCCGATTAAACTTACATAATCATAGGCTATTTTTGAAAAGATATACAAAAATTTGGCAACAGAAAGATAACTAGAATCAAGAGTGAGAGAGATTTTATACTCTTTTTTTTTGTACTATGTTTTGTTTATCATGTCCATACATGAATCCCTTCCTCTACCGCTAAATTGAAACAAATGAATAAATGAAATGTATGGAGCTGACACTATGTGCTAGGCATCCTGCCAGGTAATTAGGAGACAAAGCTTGAAGCTATTCTATTTTCCTGGCTAAGGGTCTATTTGGCTGATCTCCCTGATTTTTCTCTGATTATCTGTATCTTGCTTAAATGGATCCTCCCCACACCATACAATGCTCCTCTTACATTCAGATCCAGCACATCAAAGAGAACAGAGCCAGCATCTTTTTGGCCAGGTCAGAGAAGTCTCATGGAGCCTGTCCATTATCATCACCGATGGCTAACTTGGAGTGAGTTTGCGAAAGGCTGTAATGATACTCGCAGCCTCTCAGCTTGCCATATGGATGAACAGCACTGCAGCTGGTCACTTGAGGGGCCACTCCCTGGCCATTGGATGTGAGCCTGGAGCAGGCTGTGTCCTGAAAAATCTTCTGTTGTGAGTGAGCCCATGTGACAATTCTCCTTGCGGGAGATGGGGGCCAGGGTATGAGGTAGGGTTCATCATTCAGCTGCAGAAGCCCAACCACAGCAGCTCAACTAAATAAGGGGTGACTATCCCCTATAACAAGGAGTCTAAGGAGGCCTCCCAGAGGAGGTGCAGCAGCTCGTGTCCCAGGCTGTATCACACCTGCCACCTCATGGCCATAAGATCACGGTGGCTCTACCTTGTGCCTCCCATCAGCATTCCTAGCCAGAAAAAGAGGCAGAAAGGAAGCAAGAAGGTGTTAACAGCCGTGTCAGCAAAGCACGAAGTTTCTCAGAAATCCAATCTGTATTGGCTGGAAGTAGCCAAGCATAATAGATAAAAGCACTAACTCTAAAAGCTGACTGGGTTCAAATCCTGGCTCCACCATTTAATAGTTGCGTGTTCTCAGCCTACTTACTTAACCTCTCTGTATCTCAGTGTTCTTAAAGATAAAACAGGAATTACAGCACCTCCCTCCTAGAAAAATTATGGAAACTAAATTGTAAAGTGCTAAGAACCATGCTTTGTCTGTAGCAAGTACAACTTAAGTGTCTGCTAGATAAACACTTGACCAACCCTCCTGCAAGGGAGTCTGGGAAGGTGAGTACTTTAGCTAGGTATATTATTGCCCTGACCAAAAGCAGGAATCGGTTAATAAGTAGGAGAGGAAGAAAGGTACTGGGTAGCATTCAGCAATGCCTGTCATGGCCAGCAGGTTGGACAGGGGCTAGAGTTTGAGTCTAATGAGTAAGGTGACCAAGAGAGAAAAGAGTCAGAGGGCTAAAACCCTGAACCGAAATCCTTTGTTGGTATTGGGGTAGAGTTGGGAAGTAAAGAGCAATATGCTGTTCCTGAGTCTTGGTCTGAATGGGACCTTGGAAACACAGGCCTAGCAGCTACAGGAAGAGAAAAGAAATATGAGAAATAATAACAGCTCTCATTTATTGAACAGCTTTAGTTGCCAAGTACTTTACATATTATTCAGTGCTCATCTCAACCTCGGCATGATAGCATAATTTCCCCCATTTTACACATGAGGAAACCAAGGCTCAGAGAAGTTCAGTAAATTGCCCAAGGTCACCCAGCCCATAAGTAGTAGCATGAGTACCGAGGCCTCAGCCATAACCATTCTGCCTCTCAGTTTTTCATCAACTGCCTTGAGTGACAGGCCCCTGCTCAACACTGAGATGACCTGTGGATACCTGAGATTGTCCTATATGACACTGCATTTGTCCCCACTCAGAAGTACTTAGCTGCTGGATATGCTGGTATTCCAGCAGCCACTAGCTGATGGTGTCGGAGCAAGAACTAGGATTGGATGAAGCCTGGATGGGGAGAGCCATGGGTGGGAGGTTGACCAGGAGACCTGGTCGAGTGTGTGCTCTGAGACAGTGTTAGCCAGGCCTAAGTCACACTTTAGATCTGAAGCAATACTGTAATCACTGTGTCTGGCAGTGGTACCTGGAGAAGGGAGGGCCAATTAAACTCAAAGCCAGATCCAGGTCAGTGATGGGGGATGGTGGGTGGGGCATTGGCAGTGTGGGGTGCGGGCAGAGCCAGATTCCAGGAAAGGAGGCAAGGGAGGACTCTGCAGGGGTCAGGGTTCTGGCTCCAGAGACTGCTTCCATCCAGCGGGGAGCGAGAGGACAAGACGGAAGCTCTCAGGAGGGAGGCCTGGGCTCCCACTCATAGGCTGATATTCAAACATGCACAACCAGTAAGGCAGATGGGGGCACCTGAGCAGGTAACTCTGCTGGACTAGGAGCCTGGAGCCCCCTACTACGCCAGGAACACTGACCCTTTGGTCGTTAGACCATGAACGAAGTCTGGGTTGTCTCAGGAGGTCCCAGGGGAGGGGGAGGGGCCGGGACAGCCTGGCTTAGGCAAAGCCTTTAGACTTAGCAGTAATTTTCCAATTCCTAAGAAAGCATTCAGTGTTTTAACAAGTAGCATATCTGGTGAAATGTCAGCCCTACACTCACCAGCTAAATTCCAGACACCCTCCCCACCTCTGTGGGCGTTTATTACCAAAGGGCCCCTGTCCTGCTCGGGGTGGGCTCAGGACAGAGCAGGGCCTAACCTGCAGGGTCAGGGGCTTAGCACCCCCAGACCTAGAGGCAGGGCAGACCCATTTCCCCTTTGTTCATTCTTTCAATATTTCAGTCTGGAAAGGGAAGGGTAGAAGTTTGTCTGCTTTTGGTTTTCCACTTTGAGATATTTGTGGGGATCAGGCAGCTGTCTGGGGGTTTCCTCCCGGTGCCCAGTCCTGCCTGAGGGCTGAGGGGCAGGCACCAGTGAGCTCCAGGGCCCCTGCCTTCCTGGAACAGGTAGTGCAGAAGTTATATTCTCATCTTCTGCTAACTGCTCGCTTTCTTTAGGCAGTGAGCTTTTTCATACCAACCCAATTATGTTTCCACCCTGTCGCCCTCATATCCACCCCCATAAGCTGCTTTCCACCAACAACAATTTGAAAATTGATCTTTGAAATGACTCCTCACTTAAATCAGCTTCTGAGTTTTAAAGGGTAAGAAAATGTCTCTTACTCATTTAGACTAAAATAATGTGCCCATTAACTGCGCTAGAGACATGCAAAGTCTACTGCCTAGAAATTATCCATTAGCCTCGTTTCAGACTCTTCCACCTGCCACCCACCCTCCATGCAGCAGCATAGTTCTAAATCTCAAACATCATCTTGACATTCCCTCCTCCAAATACGAACTTTCAACGGCTCTGCCTTGCCTTAAGCTAAAAATCCAAATTCCTAAGCCTGTGATCTAACTTAGGTCTTTCCCATCACTCTTTCCATCTTTTTTAAAAGCATTTTCCACCATTTGCTCATTATCAAAAATAGTTCAACTCTTCTTGTGAAACAAAAACAAAAGAGTACACACCAGACACATACATTTTCCTTCCTATTGCTTTAGACCTCACTCTTAACCTAGGAACTTCTCTGGCTCCAGCTATACCAGACATGGCACAGGGTTAGCCCATTTCTTCTGTCCCTTCCCCCTGGAGAGACTTCATTCAGTCTCCACCTGTCAAATCCTAGCTGTCCTTCAAGGGAGGGACTTAAATGCAACCTTCTCTAAGTGGTCTTTTCAAATCCTCCTGGCTTAGAGGATTAGCCTCCCTGGGCTCTCCCTGTGCACCTTATTCTCATCTATTGTAGCAGACCAGCTGGCATCTCCTGTGCCCAGCTAATACTTCATTCTCCAACAATGTCTACTCTTCATTATGTCTTCCACACTTGCTGTATTGTGTTTTTGTGCCCCTGTATCTGTTTGTTTCTGGACTATCTTTTCTCCCCTTATCTGATCAGCCAAGTCAAACTCATCCTTCCAAAGCAGCATTTCTCAACCTTGGCTGCATGTTACAGTGCTCAGCCAATCAGCTGGAGGGTGTTCAAAAAGCTCTATACCCAGGCCTCAGCCCCCAGCAACTAAATCGAAACCTCTGGGCATGGGAGCCAGGCGTCAGAGCTTGTAAAAGTTCTCAAGCGATGTCAGTGTGCATTGGGTTGAGAACACCTGTTCTGGAATCACCTCAAGCTTCCACCTACTTCATTTAGATTAATTATTATTTGTATCCCTGGAGTTCAGCACTGTGCCTGTAACTGTAAGAGTATTTGTTGAATGAATGAATAAATAAATGGGTGAATGGGGTTTTTTTAAAAAAATGGATGGAAGGAAGGATAGCTGAAGGATAGATGGATGCTTACTCAGGAAGAATCATAGGCTGCCTTCCACTTCTAGACTTACTCCTGGAAGGGAGGTATCAGCTCCACACCCCTAGCAATGCACCTCCCTTACACAACACAGGTGTTGAGTAAATATTTGTAGACTTCAATTCAGCAGTGGCTTCACTCAGTTGCCAAGTCATCTACTGAGAGCAGTCATTGGCCAACTCCGTCCACAAAACATTTTGACCTAGACCAAAATGGAGCATTGGAAAAATGAAGTGATAAAAGCAGATCTCTGGAATTTTTGTGTTAAGTTTTCTTTCCATAACTTTTCTTAAAATTTTGCCTACCTACTACTGATTGTTTTGCTAGCAAGTATTGATGAATCAATATGATTAAGCACAAAAGCAAACCAATACAGGAAATCTATAAAATATGATTAGAAAATAACTTCTGGAGAATGTTACTTCTGATTTAATTGCTTTCCCTTTCTCATCTCCTTCCTTCCCTCTTACCTTCCTTCTTTCCTTTCTTTCCTTCTTTCTTCTTTTTTTTTATTGGTTTGTGTGTTTTTTGTTTTTGAGATGGCATCTCACTTTGTCACTCAGGCTGGAGTGTAGTGGCGTGATCACGGCTCACCGCAGCCTCAACCTCCTGGGCTCAGGTGATCCTCCTGCCTCAGCCTCCATAGTAGCTAGGACTACAGGCACATGCCACCATACCTGGCTTATCTTTGTATTTTTTTGTAGAGATGTGGGTCTCGTGATGTTACCCAGGCTGGTCTAGAATTCCTGGGTTCAAGCGATCTGCCTGCCTTGGACTCCCAAAGTGCTGTGATTATAGGCGTGAGCCACCACACCCAACCCTCCCTCCCTCCCTTCCTTCCTTCCTTCCTTCCTTCCTTCCTTCCTTCCTTCCTTCCTTCCTTCCTTCCTTCCTTCCTTCCACAAGTATTTAGTTAGCATATACTAGGTGCGAATCACTGTGCTAGGATTAAAGGCACAGTACAGACATGGTCTTTTCCCACATGAAATTCACTGTGAATAGTTGAATGTTCCATGATTTCCACAAGGTATGCTATGAGTTATAGAAACTCCCCATCCTCCACAAGGTTAGGAACAACTAACACATTAAAATTTCACAGCCAGTGCTCATTGAAGACAACAGGTGCACTTAACCATCAGTTTAAGTGGCTTATGGTTGGTGACTGAGCCAAGCCAGGGAAGGCAGAACCAGCTCGGCTGGCCTTGGACACTTCCTCTCAGGACTCTCCTTTACCTTAAGGAACCATCCATGGTACCCATGAAGATCCCGCCAGTCTCCACAGTCAGGCCAAACCTTGCCTGTTTGCTGTCAGGCCCCCAGATCCCTAGATCTTTCTGCGTTTTGTGCTGTGGGGCCTTCCAGCATCAAACTACTAGGACCTCTGGGAGTTTCCATCTCCTTGTCTATATAACATCAGGTTGTGGAAGGAGCCACAAATGTTAAGGGTTACAAAGGTTCAGTCTAAATGATTTCATATGCTGAAATCCTAACCCCCACAATGTGATGGTATTAGAAGGTGGCGCCTTTGGGAGATGATTAGCCCTTGGAGGCTAAGTTCTCATGAATGGACTAGTACCCTTATAATAGAAGCCCCAGAGAGCTGCCTCACCCCTTTTGCCATATGAGGATACAGCTAGGAGGCACCATCAATGAACCAGGAAATGGGGCCTCCCCAGACACCAAATCTGCCAGCACCTCGATCTTAGACTTTTCAGCCTCCAGAACTGTAAGAAATAAATTTATGTTGTTTCTAAGCCACCCAGTTTACGATATTTTGTTACAGCAGACTGAATATGCTAATGCACAGTGATAATTTTTCCCTGAAACCAGGAAAAAACAACACAGAAAACAGACTCAGAAACCATGAAGCGGTCAAGTGAGCTGGATAAAATTGTCCACAAGAAACCTGTCCTAAGCCCAGATGTCTCAGCTACCCCTTTAGTAGAAGAGGTGGTGCTCGCTCAAATCTGGGGTGAAGCAAATCTTCCACAAGCCTGCTTTCCATCCTAATTTGGATCCCAGTTTGTTCTTCTGGTCTCAGAAGTCCAAGCATTTCAGTGAAGCTGCTCTCCTGTCTACTCTGTCTCTGTCCCTAAAGCCCACTCATATTTGCCTTCAAAGAGCCTGGTGTTTCTGATATCCCACTGCAAGGCCTCCTTTACTCCTCCTGAAATCTGTGTGGCATGGTTTCCAAGCCTCAGGACAGTCTTTTCCTCTACGTGGAGCATGCAGATAATGTGTTTCATTTGTCTGAACTATGTGCTGGTTTTGTCTGTTGCCAGACTCTCGCTTTAAAGAAAGCTGGCCTGGCCGGGCACGGTGGCTCACGCCTGTAATCCTAGCACTTTGGGAGGCCGAGGCGGGGGGATCACGAGATCAGGAGATCGGTACCATCCTGGCTAACACAGTGAAACCCTGTCTCTACTAAAACACAAAAAATTAGCCAGGCATGGTGGTGGGCGCCTGTGGTCCCAGCTACTTGGGAGGCTGAGGCAGGAGAATGCCACGAACCTGGGAGGCGGAGTTTGCAGTGAGCAGAGATCGCACCACTGCACTCCAGCCTGGGCGACAGAGCAAGACTCCATCTCAAAAAAAAAAAAAAAAAAGCAGAAAGCTGGCCTGTGGACCTTACTGAGGCCTGGTCCCTCCCTGCAGGGTCTGGGGAAAGCACCCATAATGGAAGCCACCTTACCTGGGGGCTCTTTGTCATTGCCTCAGGCCTCATGAAGTCACTGCCGATCTCAAAGCCTGGACTTCATTGTGCCTCACCTCGCAAGTTCCAGTGATGTTCACAAGTGCCACATTTAACATCCAACTGTGAGAAAGGGTGGGGGTTGTGGGGGAAGAAGGCCTGTCCTCTGATTACATTATGGTCAAGTCATTTTCAGAAGCTTCATCATTCAAGTGCAAGAAGGAGTGGAATTTTCCAGAGGCCACTTAATTGCACTCTTATAGACTATGGTATTTTAAACATTAATACACTGTAATAAAAGAAACTAGGAGAAATTTGGATTAATCAAAGGCCGGAGCTGGAAGAGAGGAGACATTATGGAGATTGATGGCTTGGATTAGATAATCACAGAGAGATATGCATTCATTCAAGAAAGTAATTTTTAAACTGTGGCCCTAAACCTCTAGGGTCCCAGGGGATGCTGCAGGTCTGCAAGGATTATATAAAAGCTTGGCTCAGAAATTCCATTTATGTAACTATTTCTGAAAAGTCTAATAAAAACGTGCATACTCGAAGGTTACATTTCCAAAAGTTTACTATTATTTGAGATCACTGGTGTTTTCATTTACATGTTAACTGACAAACTTTATGGTAAATATGATAAATATGAACATAGAAAACAAATTTACTTGTGTCAAACACACAGTGTAGGATATCAATATGTGGTCTAAAAAATTCATTTTTTTTTTTACCACTGATCCTGGATTCCTCTTAGGTAGAAAATTGTCTTTATTTGCCCTCCCTCTATGTTTATACTTATTTGATTGTTTTATTAACTAGCACCCTTTTTCCTCATAGCCCATTAGTCACACAGCTGCCATTTGTCCCTCCAGACCCAATCCCCCAATACACTTCTTCACACTTCTTTCTGTCCAAGAGGCAGGCTTCAGTGGCTATATCAATGGCTTTCCTTGCCCTTTGGCTTTCTGTTGGATTGGCCCATGGGGAGCTCTAGCTGGACAAGGAAGAGAGGAGATGAGGTCAAGGTCCCTAGCTAGGTCCCTCAACCATGAAGGCCACTACCACTCTCCTGGAGCAAGAACTCTCTCTTCCCTTTGAATTCCTGTAGTAACTGTTCCCTCCTCCCTCCCTTCAGGCTGCGTTGAAGTAACAGCTCTACTTCCAGTAACTCCAGGTTTCTATACTACCTCTGGGAGTTTCCTTACACCCTCCCACACCTTTGTACATACACTTATCTTGAGTTATCTTCATTTAGGGGTGCCACCTGCTTCCTGCTGGAACTTTCACAGATACACCCCACTCCTGGTTCCCTTCTAATGATGAAAACCATCCCTATGTCATTCTGTGCTTCTGTTTGTACGTATTCTTGCAAAATAGTGTTGTTTTGTATGCATGTATTTCCGTTTTTTAACTGAGCTATAGATTTCTTTTGGCATTTTACCTTTCTCACTAATTACCATTTCTTAAACAGTTCATCCATGTTGCTATGGCTACAACTAATCTGTGGTTTCTAAACTGCTGCACCATACTCCGCTGTGTACACGCACCACATTTGCCTATCCAATCTACAGAAGACAGACAGCCAGGTTGTCTCCAGCTTTCTGGCACCTCAACCAGTGCTGCAGTGAAAAACTTTATATATGCATGTCCCTTGGGGAGCTGTGTAAGGATTTCTTTGGACTGCATAGCAAGGGATAGAATTGCTGAGTCATGCAGTGTGTATCTACTTAATTGAACTCAATTAAGTGAACCAGCTGTACTCTACAGAATGCCCATGTACGTCTGCTCTCCTGGGAGCAGTGCCCAAGGCTTCCCCTCCCTAAGTATCCACCAATATTTGGCATTATCTTTATTTTGTATTTGCCTTTCTTTGATTAGTAATAATTTTGAGCATTTCCTCAGATGCTTTTGATTTCCTCTTTCATAAATTATATGTCCACATCCTTTGACTATTTTTCTATTGAGGTTGCTGTTTTTCTTATTTATCTACAAGGGGTTCCTTGTATATTTTTAATGCACTGTTGGTTTTAGTTTGCTAATATTTTGTGTAGGATTTTGTTTCTACATTAATACATAAAATAAGACTATACATTTCTTTTCTCCTATTGTCCTTATCTGGAGTAACTTTAATAATATAAGAATTGATTGTTTCTTACAAGAATCTGATGACTCTGCACCATGTACACCCTGGTCTAAGTCACTACTATCTCCCACCTGGATTACCAATGAAGGATGGTTCGGTATAGGGGGTACAGAAGAACACTGGGTTTAAGAATGGAGCAGAGCCCAGTCATGAGCCCCTGTGTATGGTGTGATAATTATTTGCTTTTTAAATCTGTCCTCTCCTCCCTATTGGAATCCATTTCCAGTACATGGCTCATGTGTGCCAAAAAACAAAGTGTTTAATTTCATTGGTGAGTAGACCCGTTCTCCTGTTTTCTAGCTATATGATTTGGGAAGAGTCAAGTAACCTCAGTGTTGTATTTTCTATCAACAGAATAATAAAGATAAAACCATACCCCCTACTTGTGATGAGAGTTAAATAGAACAATGTACCTAGGGAGCCCATTCCCACTGACTGCCACAGGATGGTGGGCCTGTGTGGGTCGAGGCCAGTTCAGGGGTAATCCTCAGCCTTCTTCAAAACAAGGCTCAGGACATCAACTGGCTGGAAGCAGGGCTGATGTTTCAGGCTGCAGGAAATCTACAAGGTTGAGCATGTCTGGGTAGACAGGAGCAGGAACTCAACAGGGCAGTGCTCTCCCTAAGTTCCAGGGATCCCATACTGATTAGCATGCCAACAGGGCCCTCATTAGAGAGGAGCCCAGAAGGAAGGAGAGAGATTCCTGTGGTCCCTGGGCCTGCTCTCTCCACCCATATGTCCCCTCTGATGAGTGCATGCATGCGGCATTGATTACCAGACCACACTGTGGCGCAGTCTCTCCATGGAATGGCTCCACACAGGGATTTATTAGTAATTAAGCCTTGAGTAAATATTTTGCAAACAGGGTCTCTCCTGATGACTAGGAAGGGCTTTGGGAGGTGAGAACCCCATGGTTCTGGACCTTCAGGGCCTTCAGTATGGGCTTTCACATCCACATCATTATATGCTTGGCTACTTCAAGGCTGCCAGGGCCTCAGCTGGCTGATAACAACCAGTTACGAATGCAGCTCTGCCCTCTGGGTTGTGTCCTTTCCTAGAAGACATGGGAACATCTCTGGATTGTTGATCTTGCCTGGTGTGGGTCTGGTGGCTCTCTCGCGGTGCACATGCTTCCTCCCTGGAAGTCTGCAGGATGCAATCCACAGGCAGGGTCTATGGGGAAATTTCACAGCCTTGGGGAGAGCACCACATCTCCAGGACGCCATGGAGTTAACTCACATGGACTCATGTGAGTTACTCACAGTGACTTATGGAGTTAACTTCACATAGGATTTGTTCTGGCCAGCAGTTCTCACAGGGTGGGTTACTCTCAGCCCTTAGCAGAGTTAACAACCCAGAACTATTGATATTTTGGGCCAGCTGATTCTTTGTTTGTGGGGAATGGGGGTAGCCTATGCACTGTGAGGTATTTAGCAGCATCCGTGACCTCTGCCCACTAGAGGCCAATAGTATGCCTCTCACTCCCAGATGTAACAACCAAATATGTCTGCAGACATCACCAAATATCCCTGGAGGATAGAGCTGCCCCTGGTTGAGAACCACTATTAGAAAGGGTTTTCAGCTGATTTCAGCAAAAATACTGGGCCTTCTTGGGGGAAAAAGTGTAGATCAATAAGTTTTAAAATGATAAAGGGAAAGTTTGTTCAGAAAAATCCATTTATGCCTTTGTCCATTAATCAGCTCTCAGTTAGGCTCCTCCCATGCACCAGGTACTGTTACAGGAGCAAAAGATTTAGCAGGAATAGGACACATAGGACCCCTGCCCTCCTAAGGCTTGCCTGCTAGTTGGGAGGGAAAGATGAGTAATAAACAAGTCAAAAAACAAATAAGATTATTTCAGGTTCGGGTAAGTACTCCAGGATTGGTATGATCAAGAGTATTCTGAATGAGGGGTGGTAGGGGGTCAGGAAAGACTTGAATAATGAGATGGATGCAGCCACTGGACTATTTGGGAGAAGAACTTTTCAGGTATATGGAACAGGGATGGAAAAAGGAGGAGAGGGAGTTTGAGGATGTTCGAGGAAGAGAAAAGAGGCCAGTGTGGCTGAGCTAAGGACTAAGGTGGAGTGTGGGATGAGGTGGAGAAAAGCTGGGAGATGCATTATGGTCTGGATTGTATTTTAAGTGCAATTACCATCTCCCCATCATTATTCCTTGTAGTATTAATTCCAACCATTCCTTAACCCCACAAAGACCACTCTAGCCCATGGAACCTAACTCTAACTCTAACTCTCTCTCTCTCTCCCTCCCTCCCTCCTTCCCTCCCTCTCTCTTCTTTTTCTGAGACAGGGTCTCACTCTGTTGCTCAGGCTGGAGTGCAGTGGCATGATCACAGCTCACTACATCCTTGACCTCCTGGGCTGAAGCAATCCTCCCTACTCAGCCTCCCGAGTAGCTGGGACCACAGGCATGTGTCACCACACCTGGCTAATTTTTGTACTTTTTGTAGAGATGGGGGTCTCACTGTGTTGTCCAGCTGGTCTCGAACTCCTGGGTTCAATCTGCTTGCCTCAGCCTCCCAAAGTGTTGGGATTACAGGCATGAGTCACTGTGCCCAGTCAGCAACATTCTTTTATCATCCATTGCTCCCTCAAGTTCTCATTCTCCTTCTTTCTCAGCTTAAATCCATAGCCCATCACAATAAACTCTTTCTTTTTATAGTTTCAACTTCCTTCCCCTCTTTCTGCCATTGCACTTGTCTAACAAAATCCCAAACCCGCAAAAATACTCCATTTGCCTTGAAGGAGCTGGATGTAGCTGGAGAGAACTTGTTCGGCATTAAATTTATGTGCACAACCTCAAGGGTTGTGCTGGCAACTCTACGCCAGTTCCCTAGTCAACTTATCTCCTCATCTCCAAAACAACCCTCACCTACCTTCTCCTCTTGCCTTAAACTGCCTAAACCTTTTCCCTCCATCTCATTTTCAGCTGATGACCTTGATTTTTATTTCTCTACGCTGTTGAGCAGTTGTTCGTGAGCCTATGTATGTGCACCTATAAGAAAGGGAATGCCTTTATATTGCTGTATCCCCAGTGTGTAGGAAGAGTGCCTTGTACTTAATAATTTATCTGTAAAAATGTGGTAGTGAATGAATGAATGGATTTTAAGCAGGAGAGTGACAAGATACACTTCCTGATTTTAAAAGATCACTCTGGATGTTGCGCAGAGAACAGGTGTAGAAAGATAGGCATAAAAGCAAAGAGAATTAGGAGGCAATTGCATTGCCCCTGGCCTGGATTAGAGTGGTTGTGCTGGAGATGCAGATTAGTGAATAGCCTTTATTCTGTTTGGAAATAGAACCGATTTGCTGATGAAATAGACATGGGGAAAGATCCAGGAAGATCTCTAGGTTTTAGCTTAAACAATTGGCAGGGTGATAGTACTGCATGATGAAGTGGGTATGGCTGTGGAGAGCATTTCTGAGAAGAGAGGGAAGTAAGAATTTGGTTTGCGCATATTCAGTTTGAGATGTCACTCAGAGGTGTGCAATTGGAGCAGTCACTTATGCTGATAGATGTCAGGCTGGTGCTCAGAGAACTCCCTAGTGCCACATGTCTATGTGGCCATTGCAGGTCAGCAAGGGGTTCTGCCCATCACAGTCACTCCTGGGTCCAGGCCAAGAAAGGCTTCACTTGGCATGTGCTCCTACTACTGAAGAGTCAAGGGAAAGAGAGCATGACACACTGCACACTCCTCTTGCCTAATCCAAGCTAGGACTGTACAATGGTACCAAGGACTTGCCCCTGATTTTTTATCTGTTAGATGATCAAAAGATGACAAGTGTTCCCAAGATGGATTTGTATTGGCCCTTGTAGCATTCATGTGGGTGATTACCGTGGCCCTTCCACAGATGAGTGGATAATAACATCCACTGATTAAATGAACAGTATGTGGCAGGCTACGGGCTAGCCCCTTTGCAGATAGTATTTTATTCCATCTTCAAGGTATCTTATGAAGATTGTTTTATTATTCATTTTACAGATGAAACATTGCCTAGAAATGTTATTTAACTAGCCCCAGAACTAGTTATTCTTTAACTAGCACTCCCAAAGCTGGAGTGTTGTATCTAAGGTTTGAACCCAGGTTACCTTTTGTAACCTGAAAGTCCATGCTTTTAACCATCTTACCGCACCCAATTACAGAGACTTAAAATGACATCCTCAAAGGTTTTATGGTGAATGGTTTAGAAGGGTCCAACCTGAGAAGGTTATTTTGTATAGAACACATTTCTGTTGTCTAACGCTTTCTTTGGAAGTGGGAACCACCCTTGGCTACCAAGGCCACAAAAGCTCAGATTCACTTTCTCAAGTGACTGGAATGCAGAATGACTGCAAACTGGTGACACGGACTTGCTCCCCATTGCAATCCCCTTATGCTTTATGTATTAATACATCTACACACCAAGTCACCGAAATTCCAAATAAAAAAATAAGGACGGACATACAAGAAACTACTCATTATAAGATCAGGAGTCAAGTCAGGGTTGACTTCTATGTTGGTTTCCTATTGTTCCTGTAACCAAGTACCACTGAAGCACTGACTCAAAATAATACCATTTATCTCTCTTACGGTTCTAAAGATCAGAAGTCTGCAGTCAGTCTCACTGGACTAAAATCAAGGCATCACCAGGGCTGGTTGCTGATGGAGGCTCCGAGGGGAGAAGAATCTGCTCCTTGCTTCCTTCAGCATCTAGGGGCCACCTGTATTCCTTGGCTCATGACCCTTCATCCATCTTCAAAACTCACCACTCTCATTTCTGCTTCCAAGGTCACATCTCCTTCTCCTCCAACTCCTCCTGCCACCCTTTTGTAAGGACCACTGTGACTCTATGAAACCCCCTGGAAAATCCAGGATAATCTCCCCATCTCAGGAGACTTAGCAGTCACATCTGCAAAGTCCCTTTTGCTATATAAGGTAACATTCAGAGGTTCCAGGGAGGAGGGCATGGATGTATTTGAAGGACCATTACTCAGCCTACAGCAACATCTGTTCAGACGGCATCTAAACTCAAGAATAATATTTCTCCAATACTTTCCTTGTCTCCTTCTTCAGATCCTGTCACATTCAAAACACCATGTAACCATATCACAGTCATCCATCAGAAATCCATTACACGGTCATTTGTAACTTGTGTGGGTTTCATCTTTCACTGGTGAGACATTGCATTCGGGATTTGATTTTTTCCCTTGCATCTTTGAAACTGAAAACCATAAATGTCATTTTGTTAACAGGGTCTCACTCTAAATTAGAGAACATTTGTTCTAAGCCCAAAGCTTAAATTAGGCCTTAACTTCCTGGACACTTACATTTTTAACACCTCTTTTCCTAATCGGCCCTGGCCACCCTGGCAATGATGAGAATGAGAGTGAAGACCAGCGCTGCATGCACCTTCACACTCAGGCTCACCAGCTCAGTTCACAGTGCCTACTTCTGCACCAGGGCCCGCAACAGAGAAATCTCCTGAAATCAACAACATTGAACACGTCAGGACTGGCAATTCTCTAAGGCTGACACTCTCAAGCCAAGGGGGTAGCTATTCCTTTATCTTCTGGGTAGGGTATGGACAGAGAAGAAATGAACCCTAAGCCTACTGGATCCAGGGACAGAGAATTCACTCCTTCCTTCATTCGTTATTAATTACAAGCCTCATAGCACCTATCACTGTGCTGGTACTCAAGACATAAGAGGCAACAAAGCAGACCTGGCTTTGTGTCCTCATGAGACTTGCTACCCTTTATTTAGAACTTGCTGTAGGCCAGTCAACAGAAAATGTATTTGAAATGCAGCTCTTGTACTTATAGTTCTCTAACCATTACCCCAGAGAATTTATACCAATCTGCTGATTCAGGAGGAACTGATGGGCACAGTGAGTAGGAAGAACATTTGAGTTAAGAACAAGTTAAATGAAACATGGGTCCCTGCACTGCAGATTCTGCCAGCCCTGGGAACCTGTTTGGAGACTTCAGAATATGTAGATTACTCATACCCCACTGGGTTAGCTTGTGCTGATTCAAATTACTTACTCAAACGATTAAAATACTGAACCAGAGTGGTCTCATTTTCAGTGTGTTTTGTGCAACTGTTTCAACAGAGCCCCAGGCCCAGCTGTCCAGGGACAGGCCATCATCTGAGGATGGCCATTATCACAGGTCAAAATTTATGTTTCAAAAAATGCAGTGCTATCTCTCGGGGGCAGGAGGTGACATACATTTTGTTCTCATCACAGGGACAGGAAAATTCCCTTTCAGAGAAGGCACTGCCAGGAGCTGGCACACAAGGAGCACAGGGCTGGCCCTTGTTGATTGTGAAGAAAGGAGGGAAGACAGGCCTGGCCAGTCTGAGCAGTAAAGTGTAGTTATTTCCACTGATGGCCATTGATAGCACTAACTTGGACAAGCAAAATGCTTTGTGATGACTAGCAGGATTATACCTCTCATGTGAAAAAAATTCTAATGTCGAGATCTAAAAATCTAGGAGACTGACTACGATGCATGCCACATACTTGGAAACTCAACGTTTGAGGACATGGAATGTACAGGAGATGTGGTGCCCTTTAGTTATGGGCACCAAGTTTCTCATTTGGAATTGTGTGTCCAGCCTCGATTGATGTCACTCCAGCCAAGGGAGGAAACTGAGCCTGGCCCACCTGCAGCCCTGACCTAAGGGTGGAGTCTCAGCAGATCCATCTGGAGCAACTCAAAAGGTTGCATGAAATGAAGAAAAGCAAAAAGACTTAGACACATATAAAAAAAACTACGAGTGACAGGGATGACAGGAAGCCTTTTTGATTCAATCATTCAGCATTTCATAAATATATATCTAGCACTCACTTCAGGCCTAGCTCTGTAATGATGCTAGGAAACCAATGGTGAACAAAACACAGACCCTGCCTGTAAGCTCTTCTGGGCCACTGTAGAGATAGTTCAGGGTTGCCTCTTCAGCATCCATTCTCATGTCACTCCTTCCTAACCATACTCCAATTTATTCAGGTTTGGGGTTCAAGTGTGTGTGATGATACTTCCAGGTCTGGAAAAAGCCATCTGCTGAGGCTCACTCTATCCAGAACCACAACTAGGCAACACGGCCCCTACCCTGGGCCCCTCTTTGGGGGCTCAGCTCTGACCCTTCTTCATCCATTATTTCCCTACAAGGTAAGAGTCTGAGGGACTAAGGGGACAGGCCCACCAAGAGCCTGCACCTCCTTTTGCAGACCATGGCCAAGGAGTCCAGGCTATACTGTTAGGGCACCCACTGGCTTCTTCTCCAGTTCTGTCCTCCCAAAGGCAGATTGTGCTGCCAGTGCGACGCCGCTAGTCCAGATGTGGAGTTTGCACTTAGGGTGGGGGTGTCCCCATATGTGGAATGGAGTCAGGCGGTGGATGAGAAAAGGGACAGGCTATTGCCTGGAAACCTCTATTGGTATACTTGCCTGGAGGCTGCAAATGTGTATCCCATTGTCATCAACCCCGCAAATGGTTCAGGAGTAGGCAAGGAAGCTAAGTTGGTTCAACAAGAGTGAAATCCAGTGATTTTACTGATTGTAGACGAAGGAGCCTTCTAGGACTACACTTGCCTAAATCCAGCCTACCTCTGGAGGTTTTGGGCTTTGTAATAAGCCAATCATTTCCCTTTATCATTTAAGACAGTTTAAATTGGATTTTGTGTCTTACAACCAGAAACATCCCAAACCCCACTTCCATCAGCTACCAGCTGTGCTGTGATAAGCCAGCAGGTCATTTTTATCTCACGCAAGCTCAGAGTCCTCAAATGTACCATGAAGATAATCCAAATGTTTCTGGGTGCCTGACAGAAAGGAATGAAATCATGAGTGGGAAAAAATGCCTACCATGGTACGTGGCCTACAATAGGTGCCCGGTAAATGCCACTTTCCTTTTGAACGGTTCTAGGGTAAATGCACCTGATAGCAATAACTTAAGCCCACCCTAAGAATGACACTTTATAGCAGATGCACCTGAGTGCGTGTTCTGAGCTAGGGAGTCCAGGAGTGGCCAACCCAGAGATTCATTCCTTGTCTATGAGAAACACCTGAGTCCCCGGCACATCCTGCGGAACACGGGCTGGATAGAGCATTGAGACCCTGAGTTGTGGGTTCAATGAAGGCTGCCTGGTGGAAGCCGTTAAGAGGAGGGTGTTAAGTGAAAATGCTGTGGAGGCTGTATGCTGTTTGCAATTGTTGTGGTTTTCCTACCCTTCCCACCACCACTGGACTGTGCAGTTATCTGTCAAGCCCATGCCACTGGACTGTATGTAAGGCAGGTACTTTGTCCAGCCCGCTGCCATTGGACTCTCTCCCCTGTATGTAAGCCCCTAATAGAACCCCATGTCTCGTTTGCTGGCTCTGGATCTCTTCTTCAGCCTCTTGAACCTGGTGCCTTCCCTACTGAGGTTAACAGGGTTTGGCACAACAGTGGGGACGTAAGAACTCGGGCACAGATACTAGGGGAACCCCTAGGCTTTGTCTCCCTCAGATTCCTGTTAGTATCTGTAGATACAAAGATGAATGAGTCTGAGACCCTGCCCTAAAAGAGCAGGCACAGCCCCACGGACTGGCAGGGGAGAAAGTCTACACCATGCCGGCCTGTGATGATGCCGTGTTAAATCATTTGTAAAGTAAATAAGACATGAAACAAACTGGGCCTTGAACAGCAGGTTGGATATGTACAAATGAAGAGAGGCTTGGAAGCTATTTGAAGTTACATTGCTTTGGGTGCTATTAACAGCAGATTTCTGTGGCTTGTACATATGAGGGCTTCTCTCTTTCCTGTAAAACCCAGAGGTCAGATGTCCACGGCTGCTATGGTGGTGTCATGATCATCAGGGACATGAACTTTTTCCTTCTTTCTGCTTGCCTGTGTGTAGCGTCCCTGTTGAGGCTACCCCAAAGTTCTAGAAGGCTGTTAGGGTTCCAGCGTTATATTCGTATTGCAGGCAGCAGTCATGAGGAAGAATGACAAGTAAAAAGGCAAAAAGGGGCTCACCCCAGCTGTCTGTCCTTCCTTCTCAAAGGTTCCTCCCAATAACTTCCATTTAAAATCATTAGCTAGGCTGGGCACAGTGGCTCACACTTGTGATCCCAGCACTTTGGGAGGCCAAGGCGGGTGGATCACCTGAGGTCAGGAGTTTGAGTTTGAGACAGCCTGGCCAACATGGGGAAACCCCATCTCTACTAAAAATACAAAAATTAGCCAGGCGTGGTGGCGCACGTCTGTAATCCCAGGTACGAGGAGGGGCTGAGGCATGAGAATCACTTGAAACTGGGAGACAGAGGTTGCAGTGAAAGGAGATCACGCCACTGCACTCTAGCCTGGATGGCAGAGTGAGACTCTGTCTCAAAAAAAAATCATTAGCTAGAATTTAATCCTGTGACCATACCTAGTTGCAAAGGAAATGAAGAGGTCAACTAGGCACAATGGTGTCTTCATGATACTGATATGTTAATAAGGAAGCAGAAGGTGGAGGCATCTAGCTGCTTCTGTCACTTGGGAGGATATCACAGAAGCAGAGGACAAATAAATAGCTCATGACCAGGAGAGCCAGGAGAAGTTGGAGTAAAAGGTAACAAAATGATGGCAAGTCCAAATATAGAACAGACCACAACTTAGGATAGGCCAAACTTCAGCAAGAATTGGGAAGTACTTGGCTTGTACTAACACAGATTGCTGGACCTCACCCCCAGAGTTTCTGATTCAGCAGGTCTGGAGGACAGCCCTAAATTTTCGCATTTCTAACAAGTTCCCGGGTTATGCTGATGCCGATGCTGCTGGCCTGGGGACCACACTTTGAGAACCACTTTGGATAAAGTTAGGACTTTATCCTCTAATTAACCCCCTGAAGGCTTCTGAGTTGGGAAGAAAAAATGATGAGCTGATTCACGAAAGCTTATCTGCCAGAGGTCTGTCAGATGGGCTGATGAGGGTGAAAATGGAGGCAGAGGATGCACTAAGGAGACAGCAGTGAAGCCGTCATTTGGGATGTGTTTGGCTGGGCTTAATTGTATTATTTACAGCAATTTCTTGAAGCTTCTGACCTCCAAGACCTAACTTTATCATAGTAAGCAGACCAATCAAGCTATCCGCCTTATGGCCAGAAAAACTCAAGTTTTGAAAGAGTGTTGGTTACTGAGGACAGATTTAAAAAAAAAAAAAAAAGTAAAAGGATGTCTCCATCTTCCTACCCTATCTAACTACAGCCCGAAGTTTTTATTGAAAAATGAGAAGTAGCCAGAGGACTCACAAGTAAAGAATCAAGCCATGATTAGAAGAAATACAATGCCAGGGGAAAACCAAGTCAATGGATCCTGTTCTTTCCACCACTGAGTCCCTCCCACTTTCTAGTTGATTCGCTGTGACCTGAGTTTAGACCTCCTTTGGGTTTGTAATCAAGGCTGAAATACACAGGGAAGCAGGACTGAGGATGTGGACCAACCTGATTTGAATCCTGGTTCCAGCTGTGAAGCAGGGTGGTAGCCGGTCTCCGGAGAACTTTGTAAATTAGAAAACGTGTCCCCTCCGGGTGCAGCTTGGCAACTCAAGAATGTGGGCTGCATTACAGCCCTCATTTGCCAGCTTGTCCAAGGGCCCTATTGCGGGGCACAGCCTGCAGGACAGTAAGAGGTGGCCCTGCTGTAAGCAGGAACTTAACCTCAGGAGCCCAGGGTTTTTCCTCTGTCAGATGGGTTGACAGGCACAGACCCCAGAGTTGTCAAGCAGACTCAGTGAGGTAACCACATAAAGCGTCTGGCACGTAGTGGGTGCTCAAGGAACATCAGTTTCCTTCCAGATTTCCTCTTGAATCAGTAGCCGGATGGGTTAAGCCTCGTGGGCTGCCAGGGAATCATCTGCTCCTCCAAATCTTGGCACGGCTGCCCCTGCCTGGCATTTGCAGTGGCATGCCTGCTGCCTCTCCACCAGCATCTCATTGTCTGGCATGAGAAAAAAGTGCCCGGCTCCTGCTGTGAAGCGGAGCGCAGCAAACGGAGACCAGCTGAGCTCCTACGGTCAGCAGATTAGCTCCCTTAATACTGCCAGCTTAGGGGGTCGCAGAGCCCCTGATTGCAAATCTAAAATCCCAGCGACTTCCCTCCCTTTTCATTAATTTCCTAAGCTCCAGCGCTGCCAAGATAATATGCTGCCAGGTGCAGGGACTCCTCTAAGCCACTTTGCTCACCAATCCAACCCAGTGCAGGGCCCCTGGCCAGCCTGCTCAGGTGCTAGAGGGGTGAGGAGGGGCAGAGGCATCATTTCAGCGAGCACTGTAGGTGTGAGGCAACGTGGAGAGCTTTCCTTGCTGATGACTCTCCTCCTAAAGGGGCCAGCCAAGAGGCTGAAGTGCCAAATCCCAATTAAATCACAAAAGAAGTGGGAGCAGCGCAGCGGAAGGACAAGTGGGGAGGGAGAGAAGCCTCTGCGGCTTATTCTCCTAGGGGCACTTACTCCTCTTGCCTGAGGTTGTTCTAGGCTTGCTAAATGGGATCTTTTCTCTTTGGGGTCCGTGCTTTATTGTAACAAAAGTTATGCTGAGCACCAATTATCTGCAGGGCTTTGGGCTGGTCACAGGCAATCAGAGATGAATGAGACCTACTGAGCAAGTTCGTGTTTTAATCAGGGAGACGGACCTGCGAACAGATCACGGCCACACAATCTGGCAATTGCTCTGATGAAGATTAGTATGGAGTGTCATGAATGCACACAGGAGGGGATGCCTGACTCTGCTGCAGCAATAGGGAAGCTTCAGAAAACAAGGAGCATTTCCTGGAAGAATGGGTAAAAGGTCACAAGGCAGAGACGAGGAAGGGCATTGCAAGGAGAGGAACAGCACATGGCAAGCACACAGTTCTGAAATGTGGTGTAGGGAAGTGTGGCCAGTGAAGTAAGGGAGTGAGGCTGAGGAGGGTCTTACAAGCTGGCAGTCTTGGTCAGGGAGCAGATGAAGAAGGCCTGTAGACCAACAAACAAGGAAAATCATGAAACTGCACTGACATACAGGCTCAACCCTACCCATGCGCATGCTTTGTCCATGCCCACTTTGTGGGGCAAGGGGTGGGCAGGCTGGCTAGATGATGAGGTGCTTGATACAATAATCAGCTAGCAAGAGGCAGAGAGTAAGTTCCACACTCTGAAATCAATGCTGAAAGCAAGGGGCTGGGAACAGAAGATGAAGTCATAAGATATGGACACAGAAAGTGAAGAGGAAGGAATGCCGGTCAGTTGGACTAGGGGTGAGAGAGGGCCTGGGACTCCCACCATGCCTGGGACTCTTTATCTGCATTCTTGTTTTGTGCTTTGTCCACGAGACAGACTGATCCCCTTCTGCTTACACTAACTGGGATTCATTTGTTATCAAACGCCATCTGACCTGTGCCCCACCCCTGCCTGTATGCAGGGGTTAGCTTTGGGAAAGGCACCAGGTAGGGGGGCCCCGGGGGCATATGACTGAATTTTGTAGGTGTAATGTCTGAGTTTAGGGTTGCAGGTTCTATAGTGTCTGGCCTCGCTCAAGGACTTAGAATGGTGAGCATGGGAACTAGGACCAGGGCTTAGAATCAATGCAGGATCAGTCTCCAGCCAAGCAAAAAAAAAAACATCACGCTGATTGGGCTTCTTGCAAAGCCATTGATGGAGGGAGAGAGCACACAGGTGTGCCCCAGTGATGGGAAGAAACATGCACCTGGGGCCCCTGTGACTAGGAACTGAGTTGTCATTGAGTACTAGTGATATCTAAAGCATCCAAATGGTGTCCTGGACCCTGCAGGGCAATGGGCTAAGGGAAGGACAATGACAACCCAATAAGTATTGCTTCATGTCTACTCCGAGGCAGGCAGTACTGTGACATTGTGATATAATATGAAATACGTATATTGGTCTCTGTGTCTAGTTCCTGACATAGAGCTCTTAAAACCCTTGTAGATAGGGGCACTAGGAGAATCTTTTGTTCTTATATTTGATCTTTGACCCCAGTTCCTGACACAGAGCTCCTAAGACCTTTGTAATTTCCTGAGTGATAGAAGCATCTGACACAGAGCTCTTAAATCCCTTGGAATTTCCAGAGTGGCAGGAGTATCTTTTGTTTTAATGAGGTGACTCTTGCTGGATTTCAGGATAGCACCAGGATGGGGGCTGGTTGTCAGGGAAACCAACCATGTGACCAGAGAGTTGGAACTTTGAGCCCCACCCCTCAACCTCCAGGGAGGGGAGAGGGGCTGAAGGTTGAATTAATTGATCACCAATGGCCAATGATGTCATTAGTCATGGCTTTATAATGAAGCCTCCATAAAAACCCAAAAGGGCTGGGTTGAGAGAGCTCCTGGTTGCTGAACACGTGGGAGGGGAGTGTGCCAGTGGGTTAAAGGATGAGTTTTAGGGACAAAGAAGCCCTCCCCTAAAAAAGGGATTGAGTAGAAGTAGCCAGCAATGTACATGGAGATCCTAGAAAGTGTAATGAATTGGCATCAAAATGGGGTGGTATGGATTTTTTTAAGGGAGAAATCCTCCCAAAATGTCAAACCAGATAAGATCTGAAAAGACTCATGAGACTTAGTGACCAGCTGGGAGTCCAAAGGGAATAGAAGGGTGTTGAGTCCAAGGCACTGGAGGTGGCCTGGTCTGTGGTGCAGAGGGAAAGGAGACACAGCTAAGCTCAGGTGCACGTCCATTTGTAGGTCTGAGGCAGCTGGAGGAAGTCTTGAGGATGTTTACTCTGGTGGTGGTCGTTTTCTCTGGTGATAGAGAGTCATATCACCTGCTGAGACTGGGTGGGCACAGGAGTGATCGGATTAAAGCCATCATGAAGAATGGGACCAAGAGCTGGCTGGTGAAAACAGAAGTGCTCCTGGGCAGTGGCCCAGCTTCATTTAGGGTGGAATGTTGGGAATGTGCATCCATCCCAGTGTGGGTGGGTGCGTGCTTGCTTCTTCCCGTGCCACCTACCAGGGAGGGCTGGGAGTTGAATGGTACAGAGTTGGAGCTTTGGTAGGAGGGTGAGATGAAGGAGTTTGAGGCAAGGATGCTGGCAAGAGAGTAGCTGAAACTATGGGTAGGTCCTGGACTTCAAGCTGTGACAGCTGTCAGAGCAAGGAAGAAGGTAACCAGGGACCACATTCGAGGAGACGGGGCCGTGATCAGAGAATGAGATGATTTCCTAAGTGAGTTCTAATACACACCAACTGGAGAAGTGTGTGGTCAGGTCCAGGAAGAAGAGTGTGAATTCAGGCCATGAATACAAACAGGTGCAGCAAAGGGATGAAGAGAAGAGAAGATGCTGAAAGACAAGAGGAGCTGGGGGTGTGGCCCCGAGATTTTGTGTGGGAGCGGCTCCCTGGCCTGCTGGGCTCTCCTTGGAGGAGTGTGATGGGCTGCTCTTGGGTGGGAAGTATCAAGAGCTCCCTGGTGCTATGCTATTCTTGCCTCACATGTGACCATTGCCAGGCACGGTGTTGGAGCCAATGAAGTTATTTGCTTCGTCTCATTGCTACTAATAATAGCTGATGCGACTGATCCAAACATACCTACTACAAAGTCAATGTCTGAAACTGGCTTCATCTGAGCCCCATTTTGGAGGACAGTAGAATGGTGCTGAGAAGGAGAAAAATGTATCACTATCTATTGAAGGTAGCAACTTCTCAGTTCTTTCTCGATTCAAATTCCACACTATCTGGCTCTTTTTTCTCCCTTTAAGAGGTCTCTTCCCTCTCTTCTTCTTCCCAAGCTGGTACTCAAGGGCAGAAGGGAGCAGAACCACTGGTCTACTCTACTCTATTCCTGGGTCCTCAGGCCCCACTGCTATGTGGTCCCTCTTCTTGCCTCATTGCTGGCTTTCCCGTGCTGGTATTCACTGGGAGTAACTGTTATTACCTGTTTCCTGGGTATCTTGCTGAGGTCCAAGGGGAAGTGTGGAGTCCCCCCCATGTGCCTCCACTTAGGAGGTCCTCGCTTGCCGGAGCTATTTTCCCACAGCATTCTGGACACCAGAATCTCCCAGTACTTTGTGTCCCCCCAACTGGGACATGCAGGAACTTCCGGGGCCCCAGATGCCAGGGGTGGGTATAGGGGAACTGGGCACTATCTCAGGACCAGAAATCCTCAGCCCCTGTCCTCTACCTCTTGGGCTGCACCCTTCTATCCTGGTGCCAAGCTGAGTTTTCCTGGGCTGCACTTTGGGAAACAAAGAGCAAGTTGTCTTATTCTGGGATTCACCTAAATCCCTTAGGTATTTCTGAAAAAAAATCCTCCTCAGCTTCCCAGAAGATTTGGAGCAGGAATAAAGCAAGAACACTGTGTCTGACTCTCTGCCCTTCTCCCTCTCGCTCTTCCTCATCCTCTCACTCTTCCTCATCCTTCCCAACTATAGAAGGACTTTCTATTTCCTCCTATGGTCTGATAGGAGCTGTGCCTCTTACATATCCTCTTCCTTTCTTGACACATTTGTCCTTTCTTTCCCTCAGGCAATGAAGACAGAAAAATCAAAGGAAGAAAAAAAGATTACTGAAAAGAAAAGAAACTGGGAAAGGTGTTTTTAAAATATTATCCCAATTATATGAACAACCAGTAGCAGTGTTAAGTGACTTACACACCTTGTTTCATAAAATTGCATTAAAAGCCTATGAGGTCGTACTGTTGTCACCATTTTAGAAATGGAAAAACTTGAGATTCAATAAGCTGATAACAAAGGCAGTAAGAGACGGAGAGAGGCCATCTAACCCAATATCTGAGCTCTTAACCCCCAGGCTACATGCCCTCAACTAGCCCACCTGCTTCTGCCTGTCTGAAATCCCAGAGGCCATGGATCTGACTTTCATTCTCTACCTCTGGCAGCCGAAGGGCAGCATTTTCCCTAACAGCAACTAACGTATGTAAAGAAATATTTCTTCATCATTCCAGTGTCTGAACCATTAAGGAAGAGGCTTGGGTTGATATAAACACAGGTCACCTAGCTCAGCCATATCAACTGTTAAAATATTGAAAATTGAACTATTAAGATGTTTCCATTCTGATGGTTAAATAGCTGCTGTCCCCAAAACTCCCAAGTGCCATCCCTCAGTGCCTCATCCTGATTGATTGGTATCCAAGCCCTGCTCACTGGAAAATATTTTGAATATCACCCTATAAGAGAGAAAGAGGAGTTTCACCCTACTGGATTAGACATATACATGTAAGCACTCCCTTGAGCTATCAACGGTACCATAAAGTAATAGTCATTTTTTCTAGCATTAGTGAGACAACAGAGCATAATGTCTAGCACACAGCAGGTGTTCACTAGACATTATTTGTACTATCATCTAAGCCATGTTGCTAAAAGTCTTCCTTGAGGGGGAGCTTGGAGCCCAGCAATTCCCAGAGTTGATAGAACTGACAGACATTCTTTTAGAAGGCAACAGTAGAGCAATTTTCATTTAAATCCCCAAGGTGGAGATATGAATCAGATATTGCTAGAATCAGAGCATCTGGATAAGTTAGCAGAGGCAACTGCCTGGCCATCAGAATGCTGGACCTGAATGGGCACTAACTGATAGCAAAAGCAAAGTGAAATGAGAAAGAGATTTGGGCTGATGGCAGAAGCCAATTGTGATCACCACCAAGTCCTCCCTGTGGGCAGATGTGGGGCACTAACATTTACTGAGCACTTCAGCCTCTTTGACTTCTCATCCAACATAAAAAGAGTGCTAGCATTCCCATTTTTTATGTTTGAAAACTGGAGTTTAGGGAGGGTTAGGAATTTGTCCAAGGCCACACAGGCAGCAAGACATGGGGTTGGGAATCCCATCTATCCTATCTGGTTCTAAGGCAGTTATGCTGCCTCCTCCACCATGCACTTTTGCACTTGGGTAGGAGTGGGGGACAGTTTACCCAGATGTGCCCTTTATGCACTGCTTTGGTTTGTTTTAACAGATCCTTTACAAGTAAATCACAAAAGCCATAGTCAAAATACTCACATGTTCCAAAGTAGACATTTTAACAGAACCCACTCACAATCCAGAGAAGCCTGTGATGATGGAAAGAAAAAGTAATGAGATTCAAAGAACAGAACAAAACACACAGAGCTGCACCTGGCAAGGGAAATAAGAAATGAAGGTATCAGTTGACGAGATTAGTGGGAAACAAAGGCACTCACAGCCTCAAGTGCTTCCATTGCAGTGGAGCATTGGGTGGTGCAGAGGACGCACTTCGCCAATCTATGGCCTCCCTGGATGA